>NC_000003.12:124614664-124766180 GCF_000001405.40 Homo sapiens
GGCTCAGGCAATCCTCCCACTCAGCCTCCCAAGTAGCTGGGACTATGGGTGTGCACCAACACACCCAGCTAATTTATTTTTTATTTTGGTAGGGACAGGGTCTCACTATGTTTCCCAGGCTGGTCTTAAACTCCTGGACTCAAGCAGTCCTCCCACCTTAACCTCCCAAAATGTTGAGATTACTGGCATGAGCCATCACACCCAGCTAACCACCTTCATTATACACTGTTCAGTCTGTCTTCAATGGAGTAGAAAATTAGCCTCTTCTCATGTTTGTGATCAGGAAATTGTTTCATGAATGGAATTGAGTATTTTACATGGGAATTATGTTCAAACATTACTTATAGTTAATTTGTCACATATATGACCAGGGTTAGGCAAGCCAAAATTATATCAGAGTTTTAAAACAGCTGGGCTAAGTGAGTATGCAGTTTTACCTGGTGGATTAGAACACTGTCCCAGTGACAGACACTAGGGGATCAAAGTTAACATAACTATAGTCTAATCAAATCAATATTGTATGCCTCCTGATTTGATGCATCATTTTTGGGATATTCCTACCAAAAACACACACCTTAAATGTAATCATAAGGAAATACATGGCAAACCAAATGAGGGACATTCTACAAAATAACTACCCTGTACTTATAAAAGATGTGCAGATCATAAAAGACATGATCTTTCTCTATGAAGGACATTATTGGAATAACTGTCAATATTTGAAAAAAACAGGATATCACTGTTAAATTTCTGATTTTGCTTATTGTCCTATGGTTATATAAGAGATGTCCTTGTTTTAAGGAAACCTATACTAAAGTATCTGGGAATAAAGGGGAATCTTCTCTGTAACTTATTCTCAGTTTGGAAAGAGAAAGATGAAAAAGCTAAGGGCAAAATGTTAACATTGGAGGAATCTGAGTAAAGAGTATATAGGAATTATTTGTACTAGTCGTGTAACCTTTCTCTAAATCTGAAATTATGTCAAAATAAAAAGTTTTAAAGAACTGGTGCCAGTGGGATCATACTGGCGAATCCGGTTGCAGGGTGGGCCAGGCAGTTCATTTTCCTAGCCGTGTGTATCTTTAGTGTGGAATCTGTGCTCCCGGTAGCAAGGAGGCCAGAGAGGAGAACCACAGAGAGACTTTTGCGGGAAGAGCACAGACTTGGAAAGTGTAGGATGAAACACTGAGCTTGGTCAGGAGGCTTAGACTGAACTCAATCTTGTCTACTGCTTTTTCCTAAGCCAGGTAGTGAAGACCTAGAAGAAAACCCACTTGGCACAGGTGGTTGGGAGAAGGAGGATCAGATTAAGACTGTAGAGCCTCCTATTACATTAAGTCCAAGAGACCCTAAGCCTTCACACTTTCTTTCCTGTTCCACCCAAAAATACAGTTTACCAAAAAAGGACACTGCAAACAAGCAGTCTTTGACCTCTAGCCACCTGTTACTTCCTCCATATATGCAGTTTCCTCTTCTTGCTTCTTCTCTCAGGTTTCCTAGGAGAATTTCCATTGTGACATTTTCAGTTAAGTAGCACTTAATTACAGTCTTAAACTTTCCAGAGCCACCCTGCTTAACTCTTCCCCCCAGCCTCTATAATTAAGCCTGTTGCAGTTACCTTTGGTTAAGGTTACTACTGAAGGGCACATTGTGAGTTGAATCCAGGCCAGGCTTCCCACTGGCTTCTGGGTATACTTGATGTGATAGTACATAAGCCTAAAATAACTCGGCTAGACTGCAACTTAGCTCCTACTTTGGCATTCATAACAGGTTTTGAGTTTGACTGACTACCTTGCTGTCAGAATACCATCTCCAGGAGTCTCACTCACCCTTTTTCTTCCAGATCTAGGGAATAATAGCCAAGCTCAATGAAATTTGGTAAATGCTCTATGTTCCCTCTGGGGTCATCATCTACATTAGCATATTAGAGGTTCCCAGAAGTCTTGCAGTAAAGAAAAAGGTGGCTTTCTTAACTCATCTTTAATTGACTGGGCAGCACTTAGAACTTCTTAAGGAACTGGCCAGGCGCGGTAGCTCATGCCTGTAATCCCAGCACTTTGGGAGTCCGAGGTGGGCGGATCATGAGGTCAGGAGATCGAGACCATCCTGGCTAACACGGTGAAACCCCGTCTCTACTAAAAATACAAAAAATTAGCCGGACATGGTGGCCGGCGCCTGTAGTCCCAGCTACTTGAGAGGCTGAGGCAGGAGAATGGCGTGAACCCAGGAGGCGGAGCTTGCAGTGAGCTGAGATTGCACCACTGCACTCCAGCCTGGGTGACAGAGTAAGACTCCATCTCCAAAAAAAAAAAAAAAAAGTTATATTGCTAAGTTTTGTCCCTAGCTTTTCATTACCAGCCATTTAATGACCAAAGAATTTGTGTTGGCTGGGCGTGGTGGCTCACGTCTGTAATCCTAGCACTTTGGGAGGCTGAGGCAGGTGGATCACTTGAGATCAGGAGTTTGAGGCCAATCTGGGCAGCACGGTGAAACCCTGTCTCTACAAAAAATTTAAAAAAATTAGCTGGGCATGGTGGCATGAGGCTATAGTCTCAGCTACTCAGAAGGCTGAGGTGGGAGGATCACCTGAGCCCAGGAGGTTGAGGCTGCAGTGAACTGTCATTGAGCCACTGCACTCCAGCCTGGGTGACAGAGTGAGACCCTGTCTCACACAAATGAACAAAGAATTTGTGCTGGCAATGCAAAGATGGAGGAGACCTCCTCTCAAGGACTTTGCTCAGTGAGGGAAAATATGTAAACAAGCATTTATCAGTGCCAAACAAATAGCACAAAAAGGTATTCAGAGCAAAAGGAGAACATGCTGGGCTTACAACGAAGAAGTCCTTGGTAAGCTTCAGAAAAGCAGAAAAGCTAAAGGGTGTATAAGCAGGGAAGAATGCAACATAGTACAGTGAACTGAAAAATTAGACTAAAGTGAAGGGTTCTTATAGGACACTGGTCTTCAAACTCTGGTGCACATCAGAATTACTTGGGGAGCTTGTTAAAACACAGGATACTAAGCCACCCCAATAGTTCCTGATCCACTAGCTCTGGAGTAGGGCCCAAGAATTTTTATTTCCCACAAGTCCCCAGATGATACTGATCTTGCTGATCTGGGGACCACAGTTTGAAAACTTTGGATTATCAAAAAGTGGAACTCAGAGAACAGGCAAGGTGAGATCAGGCCTGATCGTGGAACTACCATAAAAAAGTAGGCTGACAAATTAGATACTATTGATGAAGTTTTGAATGTGATTTGAACAAAGCGATACAATTGCTCTGGTGGCAGAGATATATCAAATGAATAGGAGAAAAAGACTGGGGGCAGAGAGACAGTCTGGAGCTGTTATGTAGTTAAAGCAAGTAGATTTAAACTATCTGAGTGCCAGTGGGAATGGAAAGAAAATACCAGTGCAGAAATCTTTTTTTTTTTTTTTTTTTTTTTTTTTTTTTTTTTTTTTTGAGATGGAGTCTCGCTCTGTCTCCCAGGCTGGAGTGCAGCGGCACGATCTCGGCTCACTGCAAGCTCCGCCTCCCGGGGTTCATGCCCTTCTCCTGCCTCAGCCTCCCGAGTAGCTGGGACTATAGGCGCCTGCCACCACGCCCAGCTAATTTTTTTTTTTTGTATTTTTAGTAGAGACGGAGTTTCACCATGTTAGCCAGGATGGTCTCGATCTCTTGACTTCATGATCCGCCCACCTCGGCCTCTCAAAGTGCTGGGATTATAGGCGTGAGCCACCGCGCCCAGCCATGCAGAAATCTTAGTGAATGAAAAGTCTGCTGGTAGGAGAACAAAACTGGAAGTTAGCCTTGCCCATTCTGTGGGAGAGTCTTCAGTTATATACAGTCATTTGTATAGTGCTATTTTGAGTCTTTGTGCTTATTACTAGGGCTGAACTTGTTTATGTTCATACCATCTGAAAAGAAAAGGAGAAAATATTACTAGATAAGCTAATAGAGTTAACGGTGCTTTACGGAGCTCATTGAGGGCTTGTTTGAAGGCCTAAGACATACCATGGACTCAGGAGTGGCCCTGATTTATGGGGAAATTGGGCTTACCTGCCAGATATGGAGCTTGGGAGGGCTGCATGCAGAGAGCTAAATCCAGGAGAAGGTGCCCACTCCAGCCTCGGAAATTGGTAGGTGCCTTGTGCCATAATTAGATGACCCTCCTTGTTGTGCTTGTGATGTCTTCGTAGGCGAGTGCAGATTTCAGGCAATCTCAGTTCCTACTTATCCACTAATTCTTGCTGGCCATCACTTGAAAATAGTAAGCATTTCTTGTTTGTCTATTTTAAAATGAATGTTATGGTATATATCTTAGGTATATGACATGATGTTATAGGATACATATAAATAGTTATCTGCTACTTTGTATCCTCTGGCCAACATCTCCCTGTTTCTTCCCCCTACTCCAGCCCCTGGTAACCAGTGTTTTATTTTCCATCACTGTATATTTGACTTTTTTTTTTTTTTTAAGATTCCACATATAAGGGAGATCATGCAATAGTTTTCTATGTCTAGCTTATTTCACTTAACATAGTGCCTTCCAGGTTCATCCAAGTGGCAGAATTGCCTTCTTTTTAAAGGCTGAGTAATATTTCATTGTCTGTGTATATAAATACATACATCAGTTTCTTTATTCCTTGGTTTGTTGGCAAACACTTAGATGGTTGCTGTATCTTGGTTACTGTGCATAATGTTGCAATGAATGTAAGGGTTCAGATATCTCTATGAGGTAGTAACTTCATTTACTTTGGATGTGTACTCAGAAGAGGGATCACTGGGTCATGTGATAATTCCTTTTTATTTTCCTTCTTTTTTTTTTTTTTTTTTTTTTGAGATAGAGTTTTACTCTCGTTGCCCAGGCTGGAGTGCAATGGCGTGATCTTGGCTCACTGCAACCCCGCCTCCCAGGCTCAAGCAATTCTCCTGCCTCAGCCTCCCGAGTAGCTGGGACTACAGGTGCATGCCACCACACCCAGCTAATTTTTGTATTCTTTGTAGAGACAGGGTCTCACCATGTTGTCCAGGCTGGTCTTGAACTCCTAAGCTCAAATGATTCGCCCGTCTTGGGCTCCCAAAGTGCTGGGATTACAGGCATGAGCCACTGCGCCCAGCCTGATTATTCTATTTTTAATTTCTTTAGGAACCTACATACTGTTTGCATAATAGCTGTATCAATCTACACTTCCAGCATCAATGTGCTAGGGTTCCCTTTTCTCTACATTCTCACCAGCATTTGTTATCTCTTGATTTTTGATAATAGCCATTCTAACAGGTATGAGATGATATCATAGTGAAACCATTTTGGTTTTTTTTTTTTCCACAATGAAAGGCCTGTATTTTATACTAATATAATGTGCCCTTTCTTCAGTCTGAATTTGTAAAGTTTCACCATATTCTTTCAGCGGCTATGGTTTTTGTTTTGTTTTGGTTTTGGTTTTGGTTTTGAGACAGAGGTCTCACTGTGTTGCACAGGCTGGAGTGCAGTGGTGGAATCACAGCTCACTGCAGCCTTGACCTCCTGGGCTCAAGCAATTCTGCTGCCTCAACCTCCTAAGTAGCTGAGACAACAGGAGCGCACCACCACACCAGGCTAATTTTTGTTATTATTTTTAGTAGAGATGAGGTCTCGCTATGTTGCTCAGCTGGTCTCAAACTCCTGATCTCAATTGATCTTCCCACCTTAGCCTTCTAAAGTGCTGGGATTATAGGCATGAGCCACCACTCCCGGCCTTGGTGGTTATGTTTTGAACTCTTCAGAAGTCTTTTGGGAAAGTTTTCTACTCCACAGTTTAGAAAAAATGTGTGTTCCCTCTCCAGAAGCTGCAGCAAACTCTAGCAGAAGTAAATGGGTGTGTAGGTTGAAATAATATCTAGAATATTTACTCTTAGAAGAGCAGCAGATCTGCTTTCACTGACTTTTGCTTGATCCCACATATCAAGCTTCAGAATCCACCACTGGTGGAATATAGAGAGAATTTTCTCGCCTTTAACTTCCAGAGACAGCTAGATGGGGCAGTGAGTCCAGTGAGTCAGCACAGCAGTATATCAGAGCAGCGGCCTTGTGTTTTCAGGAAGTGCTTATCTAGGGGCAGAGGGTGGAGTTCATTGCCCTTTGAGGGCTTTCCTCCCTCTGTCTCTGACTCAGACAGAGGATTACACAGGAGAACCCGAGGTCGAGGAGACCTTGAGGACAGTCAATTGGGAACTTTCATTTTATCCTCTGCTTCCAATGCCATCCTAACAGGAGCCAAAGCGTGGGGCCAGGGTCGTGGGGAGGACAGCACTGAAGAAGCCTGCAGTAGTTGAGGGAGATCTGCACTGAATTAGAACAAAATTTAGGAGACTTCTAATTTGAAGCCAGAGGTGCTGACTTTTGAGTCTTTGGAGATTGCCTGTTGGAAATATTCCTGTTGAGGGCCAATGTCCCAATGGGCTCTGAAGATGAGAAGGATCCCTGCCCTATGTGGATGCCACTGGATCTGGAATCATTTCTGTGGCTCAGATATCTGTACACATTCTGCCAGGACAGGAGCAGCCGTATTGGGAAAAGAAGGGGGACAATAACTAGAAACGAACTAAGATGTGGCCCTTGCTTTTGTACTTTTAATTTAATGGGAAAAAATAGATACAGATGTTCTAAATGCATAAGGATTCAGTTGTACAGAATTTATAAAAACACAAAGTTAAGTCTGACTGAAGTGGTAAGGTAAAGGATGTTGAGTTGGTAAAGGATGCATTGGAAAAGAGACTCCTAAACTAGGTCTAAAAGTGGTGGCATAGTAAGTGGGAGGCAGGGGTTTGCGCTATGCATTTGAGACTTGGGGATGACTAAGAGATGGAAGATGGAATATTCTGAGCCAAGATGCATCTGCCAAGTTTAGTCTAAAGTTGTGTTAAGAGTAATTGCAAGGGCAACAAGTTTCCTAGTGTCAAGGAATAGTATTTCTAGCTCCCCCCACTTCCCGGCCCCATTTCCTGTTGCTGTCACCATAGCAGCTATCTTCATTCTCCAGCACTAAGTGGCCCAGGCACCAAGATGGCTAACCAGATGGTTTGCTGAGAAGCCAGCCGTGCCAGAACCTGGCCGTACATAGCCTCAGGACCTCAGCTGAATATGCAACCAGGAGCTTGTATTCTGTTAAATTTTGCCAGAGTATTATTGTACACCATGCAGGACATATTATGTAATAATACTTACTGCAGGCCTTATGCTGTCAATGCTTATGAACAAATATGGATTTATCCATTGGCTACCCAGGAAATTTTCACCTTTGGCCCTCCCATTACGTGCCCTTCTCTAGATATTCAATTTCCAGTGTGAACAAAGATGTATATATGATATTTCTATAATTTTTATATTAGCAAATTATTTCTGGAAAGCAAAGAAAATAGGAATGTTTGAGTATATAATATCTTCAGACAGATGTATTGAAGTACATTGGCCTTATACAACTCAAGCCATATGAAAGCAATATGAATGAGTTTGCAATTATTCCCATGCCATTGGAGCTAAAGCAAAAGAACAGAAGGTCAAAGGACCCCTCTGTAAATTGTTAGTGGATATTAGAAATCTTTGTGGTTTCTTCTGATTTCAGCCATTGGAGTCAAAGTTTCCAATTCAGTATTACGATTAACACCAGGTGGACATTTATAGACCTATTGACCATCTAGATAAAACAGGTATGGTTTATATGGAGCAACTGGACCCCATTGTCTTTTAACAATCACATGATGCATTATATAGAAGACATGCCTTTGGGGTGTGCTTGAATACCATCACTGAACTCCAGAAGAATGGATTGAAACCGAGTTTTTTCATTTTTGAGTTGTACTACTCAAGCCAATGTAGAAAATAGTGAGCCAGCCTCATAAGTAATATATTTGTGATGCCCGCAATCCATGGAAGCCTCGGATGCCACCTGCACATATGCTTGCTCTCTAGGGTCCCAGCCTACCCCTTGCAAAGACACTGCTACTGGTCTTTGGGGACACTAAGCTCCTAACACTATTAGAATTATCTTCTTTTTCTGTCTGGGAATTGTAGTCCTTCTCTACTTCCAAATCGCCTTGGGGTCAGTAGAAACAAGGCTAAGTCAGTATTTTGTGATTAGAAAAGTAATGGGTGACAGTCCTGTGGATGCAACAATAAAGTATTCGCCAGAGCCTATGTTTGCACTCTTTGATGACTTGTGTACAGTGTGTTCTGATTTCAGAATCGTTTGGCAAATTTTACACTAAACCAGAAAGGGGAGTAGCATTTTTTTTAGGTGTAACATTGAAGTAAGTATGAGTTGAAACTTTAGAAACAAGAAATTAAATTTCTAAATTAGTTATATCAGATATAATAAATTTCTGGTATATTCAGTTCCTACCGATGTCTATACAGGTTTCTTTCTTTTCTTTTTTTCTTTCTTTGTCTCTCTCTTTTTTATTCTCTTTCTTCCTTTCTTTTTTGTCTCTTTCTTTCTTTCCTTTTCTTTTCTTTGCTTTGCTTTTTTCTTTCATTCTGCTATGTTGCCCAGGCTGGTCTCAAACTCCTGGGCTCAAGCAATCCTCCTGCCTCGGATTGCTGGGATTACAATCCCAAAGTGCTGGGATTACAGGTGTGAGCCGGTGCGCCTGGCCTATGCAGGTACCTTTTATTTGGTTACTAATTGTATTAGTCAGAGTTCTCTAGAGGGACAACAGAACTAATAGGAGATATATATATATATATATTTATTTATACACACACACACACACACACACACACACAAAAGGGAGTTTATTAACTCACATGATCGCAAGGTCCCACAATAGGTTGTCTACAAGCTGAGAAGCAAGGAGAGCCAGTCCAAGTCCCAAAACTGAAGAACGTGGAGTCCAATATTTGAGGATAGGAAGCATCCAGCACTGGAGAAAGATGTAAGCTGGGAGGCTAGGCCTGTCTAGTCTTTTCACGTTTTATCTGCCTGCTTTATATTCTAACTGCGCTGGCAGCTGATTAGATGGTGCCCACCCAGAGTAAGGGTGGGTCTGCCTTCCCCAGCCCACTGACTCAAATGTTAACACCCTCACAGACACACCCAGGATCAATACTTTGCATCCTTCAATCCAATCAGGTTGATACTCAATATTAACCATCACACTAATGAAAGGCTACCTAAGTAGAAGAAGGACAATGTTTGACACAGACAATGGACTGGTTAGGATATGTTCAGTGCACAAGCTCTCCTAGGCTTTATTCTGATTTTTGTCTTCAGTTGAAGCAGGTAGCACTTATGTGTGTTGCATGGAAACATGCTAAAACAGTCGCCGTCTATCTGAGGTTTCACTTTCCACAGTTTCAGTTACCCACAGTCAACTGAGGTCTGAAAATATTAAATGAAAAATTTCAGAAATAAACAGTTCATAAGTTATAAATTGCACACTGTTCTGAGTAGTGTGATGAAATGTCACACCATCCTACTCCGTCCTGCCCAGGATGTGAATCTGAATCATTCCTTTGTCCAGCATCTCCATGCTGTATATGCTACCTGCCCATTAGTCACTTAGTAGCTGCCTCAGTTATCGGATCAATTGTCCTGGCATTGCAGTGCTTGCGTTCAAGTTACCCGTATTTTACTAAATGATGGCTCCCAAAGCGCAAGAGTAGTGATGCTGGCATATTGTTATTGTTGTCCAATTTCATTATTAGTTGTTGTTGTTAATCTCTTAAGGCCTAATTTATAAATTAAACTTTATCATAGGTACACATGTATAGAAAAAAACATATATAGGGTTTGATACCATCTGTAGTTTCAGGCATCCACTGGGGATCTTGGACTGCATCCCTTCCCTCATGGATAAGGGGGAGATTACTGTACTGTGATTAAAATACCTGAAATCATGGAGTTGTTGCCCCAAGGCTTAGGCTAATAACATCAACGTGCTTATTCTAACCCCCAAGATGGTATCTGAGACCATAATCTCAACAGTTGTTCAATTACCTCCTCATAGAGTCCTTCAGAGGCTCCCATTCTGAGGGATACCCCTGTAGATAGATAGAAGGAGGCAGGTGTCATCTTCAGGGAATAACCTGTGCTGCTTAAACTTCCAAATGGTGAGGGAGGGGGAAAATTGCCTGATAGCCAAAGGATGAGGCTACCTTATTCTAGGAAGAGATTGCAGGCATTGGTCTTAGGAGTGGTTAAAGAGCTATCATTACTTACTGGAGATAGGGAGAATCTATTACCAGGTGGCAACTGGTAGTATTAGGTTTTTCTTTTGCTTTCATGAGACACAGAACTTTGAAGCTAAAACTTTTGACGCTTAACATATCGAGACTAGCCTGTAGAAGAACACACAGATAGAATGAATGAATACACAGAAAAAAGTCAGTCATGGAATTAGGGGAGGTTTTTATGGTTTTATTAATTTTTATTTAACAAATGCTTCTCTGGGTCTAGACATTGTTCTAAACACTTTTCAAATATTAACTTCTTAATCCTAGGAGCAACCTTATGAGATAGGTTCTAATATTCCCTACTGATGAGGAAACCAAGATACAGAGATACAGAAACCAAGGTAACCTGCCCAGAGTCATAACAGTGCCCAGTGGTGGAGCCAGACAGTTCCACCTGGAGATTTATGCTTTAGAGTAAAAGCAGTGCTGTTCAGTGTGTGACCACAGACAGCCAAGGTCTTTGAACTAAGTCCAATCCACAGTGAGATGAGCCCAGAAAATGAGTGTTTTGACAGTTCCACAACATCCAAGAGTGTGATGTATTTCATAAAAGTATTGGTCTGGCCAGGTATGATGGCTCATGCCTGTAATCCTAGCGCTTTGAAGGCTGAGGCAGGAGGATCCCTTGAGCTCAGGAGTTCGAAACCAGCCCGGACAACATCATGAGACCCCATCTCTATCTTCTTCCAAAAAAAAAAAAGTACTGGTCCAAAATAGATTGGAAACAAGTAAAACTGATTCTTTACCACAGACAGTTTGGGAAGCACTGCCTAGAAGAATTCTCACACTCATGCAAATGGATTTGTACAATTATATATCTATTTATCTCTATATCCCCATATGCCCAAATGTTCATTAGGAAAATATATTACAAAATTATGATGTAGCCTATGAAAGAATATTATTCAACAATTAACATGAGGCTGGGCACGGTGGCTCACACCTATAATCCCAGCACTTTGGGAGGCTGAGGTGGCCAGATCACCTGAGGTCAGGAGTTTGAGACCAGCCTGGCCAATGTGGTGAAACACCATCTCTACTAAAAATACAAAAATTAGCAGGGTGTGGTGGTGCATGCCTGTAATCCCAGCTACACCAGAGGTTGAGGCAGGAGAATCATTTGAACTTGGGAGGCAGAGGTTGCAGTGAGCTGAGATCGCGCCATTGCACACCAGCTTAGGCAACAGAGTAAGACTCTGTCTCAAAGAAAAAAAAAATTAACATGAATGAACTAGATCTACATGTATGAACATGAATAAATCTCAAATAATTTTGAATAAATGAAGTTGCAAAGTAATACCTACATTATGATAATTATATAAACTATAAAACACAAAATAATACTATATTCACATAAAAGTAAATGTTTAACAACATGGATAAGAAAGATGCACACTAGCTTCAGAAGAGAATTTAACTTTGATGAGGGCAATTAGAGAGTAGGATTGCAACTGGGCAACATAAAAGGCTTCAACTATATCTGTAATCTTTTATTTTTAAAAAACTTGGAGTAAATATGGAAAAATGTTTACACTATATCTAGGTGATGAGTACATAGATGTCAATTTTTTTCTATATTTTTCTGTATTTTAAAACTATTTCATGATAAAATTCGCTTCAGAAAATTTTTTTTAATTATAGAAAGCCAACTGTACATACCAGAACATTAGGGGCTCTTTATTATTTGCAGTGTCCAGGGATCCATTTGTCTTCCCATTTACTTAATGCCAGTCATTGGTCTTTGGGCAGTTTCTAAAGCTTCTTTGCTAAAGAGGAAGCATTGGTTCAGAGCCCTAGAATAGGCCTAGGGATGCCTAGATGCTGGTACTAGTTTTGTTACTGATTTGTGACAAGTGGTTTTCCACATATAAACCTTTAAGCAACTTGATGCTCCCTTCTATAATAATGGTAAAGATGAAAGGAACACATGGAATGAACTTGGATGTAGAGATAAGATTAAATACATGTGTGGTGGAGTCAGATCTGGGTTTAAGTCTTGCCTTTGCCAGTCACTATGAGCCTCAGTTTCCTAAAACAGTCTCATTTTCTGTTTCCTAAGGTGGGAATCCTAATAAATAACACCTGCCTGGACTTGGGATGATTTGACGAGAGAACGATATTATTGTTGTAGTTATTCCAAATCTGTCACTTAGCTGTTTTATCTAGAAAGATAGTAAAATAAGTTCTCTAGCAGCTAATGGCAGCCATTTTCCAAAAAAGATGGGATGAGCATAACATGCCAATCCCTCTGAAGAAGCGATTAACTAAGTAGATGTTTCTAATCTAAATGATGCCACATTCCTTTATAACCAGACATTTAAAGTGTCTTGGAAATGGTCTTATCCCAAGTCAGGACACCCACTAGGTGATGAATTACATTGCTTCCAGCTCTGAGATTCCCATAACTTGGGCCATGGTTGCATGGCTCCAGTTGCTTGCATGGAACAAACTTGAAACAACAAAATAGAGATTACTTTTGGTTTTTAATTTGTACTTTATACTCTTGCCATTAATTTTCACAGAAAGCAAAGAAGCAGAAGTAAATGACAACAGGGGAAGAGGAATGGTCATTCAAAATGTGCATTTGTGAATCTCAAAACCAGGCCATGATGTACCATGGAACAGAAATCTTAGGCAGTCATCTGTCTCGCCTGGTAACGCAAGGCACAGTTAATGTGGCCGGACTTCTAGTTCTGCTGACACGACATGTGCTGATAATAAGTCTTGAAGGCTTGGATTCAGTAGAGCCACATGGCATCACAGGGGTCTAGTGAATGAAAAGCTTCTGCAAACTTATCAGCAGAAAGATAGCAGAGAGGCCCTGCTTCTATTACCAGTGTTCTGAAGATGTTTATCACCCAGCCTTCTGAGAACAGTAGTTTGACCCATACCAAACACTTCAGAAACAATGTCAACACACCCAAGACCACAGCCAGCAAGGAATTTTCTGAGATAAGATTACAGCTTTTTCCTTAAAGAGATGCCAACCAAGTTAGTCGAGCTCCTAATATTCCCTGAGTATAGCAACGCTGTGAGTTATCCTTCATACCAGAGAATTTTAGAAGCTCAATTTTTATGCTTCCAAATACAAATATTCTGCTGCTGTTTTCCAAGTTATGCACAAAACTCAAGCAATATCCAAGAAAGTTCCAGCAGGGTCAAGGCTCAGAAAGCCTGAGATTTGTGCCCATGAGACCAGCCAGTTGTAGCCACCGGAGACAGCTGTCTATTGGCAAAAGCATCCATTCACCTTTCCTTCCATCCTCCCTCCCTCCCTCCCTCCCTTCCTTCCTTCCCTCCCTCCCTCCTTCATTCCCTCCCTCCCCCCCTCCTTCCTTCCCTCCCTCCCTCCTTCCTTCCCTCCCTCCCTTCTTCTTTCCTTCCCTCCTTCCCTCCTTCCTTCCTTCCCTCCCTCCCTCCTTCATTCCCTCCCTCCCCCCTCCTTCCTTCCCTCCCTCCCTCCTTCCTTCCCTCCCTCCCTTCTTCTTTCCTTCCCTCCTTCCCTCCTTCCTTCCTTCCTTCCCTCCCTCCCTCCTTCACTCCCTCCTTCCTTCCCTCCCTCCCTTCCTCCTCCTTTCCCCTCCTTCCCTTCCTTCCCTTCCTTCCCTTCCCTCCCTTCCCTTCCTTCCCTTCCTTCCCTTCCTTTCCTTCCTTCCTTCCTTTCTTTCCTTTTCTTTCTTTTCTTTTCTTTTCATTTCTTTTCTTCTCATTTCTTTTCTTCTTTCTCTTGCTCTGTTGACCAGGCTAAAGTGCAGTGGTGTGATCTCAGCTTACTGCAACCTCTGCCTCCTAGGCTCAAACTGTTCTCATGCCTCAGCCTCCCAAGTAGCTAGGATTTTAGTCATGTGCCACCACACCTGGCTAATTTTTTTTTTTTTTTTTTTTTTTTTTTTGTAGAGACGGAGTCTTGCCATGATGGCCAGGCTGGTCCTAAACTCCTGGCCTCAAGTGATCTGGCCACTTCTGCCTCCCAAAATGCTGGGATTACATGCATGAGCCACCATGCCCAGCCATATCCTTTCACCCTATTTCAGGATTTTATTTCTTCTCTATTGGCTGCATGTAGGCCAGAGGGCCTCCCAGGTAGATTAGACCTCTAGTCTAGGTCTAGGGCAAAGTCATTATAGGAAAAGGTGACTCAGTCTTCGAGTAGGTATGAAAAGCCACTGTAATAATTTGTTTAAATACCTAGTCCTGTGTTTGATTTAAATATCAGTATGCAAACCGGCACTGTCAGGGGGCCTATGTGCGGGTGAGGTAGAGCTGGTCAGGTATTCTCCCAAGATCATGGTGATGATGAGAAGCATCAGCATACACAGAGACAACTCACCTTTGATTTGTTCAGATGCTAATGGTATCACTTCTTGCTTTGAAGTGTCTCACGTTCATTTCTTTATATTCCCTGTGCACAGCCCTAGTGTGGTTTTCTGGGCTCTAATTCCTCCTTCGCAGGGCTGTGCTGTATATAGTTGCCAAGATTCGTTAAAAACAAAGCAGTAACAACAACAACAAAAAAAACTCTTTTTATCATGTCATTTCCCAGTAGTCTCATAATAAAGTTTATACTCCTCTGGTTTATTATTGAATGTCCTCACAAATTTTTCTATCCAGGTTCTCTTTCTCCACTAATCTTTATTTCATCCAAAGGATCTATTACTGGCTGTTAACTTATTTTTCATTTTTCCTGCCTCTGTGCTTTTGTTCCTGCTGTTTCTCCCTTTTGGAATTCCTTCACCCTTCTATTCAGATACAGCTCTTCCATTAAATCTTTTCAGATCAATCCCGCCTACACTGATCTCACCCTCCTCTGAACTCTGCTTACTTGTCAGCTAAAGTCCATACCAGCCCTCTGGCAATTAATCACATACAGCCTTGTGAATTTATCTTTATTTTGCATGCTTAATCTTGCTTTTTCATTTTTTCTCTCTCTCTCTCTGTCTCTCTCTCTCTCTGCTTCTCTCTATTGTGTATGGATATCTATGTATAGCTAGGTAAGAGGTCTGCGAAAATAAAAATCTGTCTTATATATCTTTATAATACATGACCTAATCAGTGCTCCATGACATAATTATTACTTAGGAATTTTCACTGAGGATCTTGATTTGCATGCTGATGCTCCTGTGCAACTTTCGAATGCCCAGCTTTCTCAATACTGGTAGAAACAAGCACTGAGAACTAGGAAGACATCTGAAGTGGACTTAAAGGGCTTTCTTTTGAATAACTCAAAACTATTCTCTAAAGCCAAGGTAGGTAGATGCTAATGCTGATCTCCTCCGAGTTTAATGAGTATTCAGAAATCAAGGATTTAGGGAAAATTAAATAAAGTTTGCTCAATGTGGTTTTCCTGCATGCCCACATCTGCCACATGCCTGTTCTAGCCTCTCTATTCTTCCATGGCAGCGTGGCTTTCCCTGGACTTGCTCTTCCTCAAACCTCATCCCTAACCCCATATTCAGAGGGAGCCTAGAGAACTGGGCGGGTGTAGACATGAAAGGCCCAGTAGTGTTTGTTTGTTTGTTTGTTTGTTTGTTTGTTTTGAGATGGAGTCTCCCTCTGTCACCCAGGCTGGAGTGCAGTGGTGCGATCTTGGCTCACTGCAACCTCCGCCTCCTGGGTTCAAGTGATTCTCCTGCCTCAGCCTCCTGGGTAGCTGGGATTGCAGGCATGAGGCACCACACCCGGCTCCAGTAGTGTAGTTTAGTGCTCAAGTCTGGCTGTCTGCAGTTCAGATTTCACCTTGCCCCTATGAGCTGTATGTCCTTAAGCAAGTTAACTCTTTAAGTCTGCAGTTTCTTCTTCTGTAAAATGAGGATAATGACAGAACCTACCTCATAGAGTTATACGGAGAATGAAATGATAGTCCACATAAAATGTTTAGGCTATTGCAAGCATATACGATTGAAAATAGTCAATATATGGCATACAGCTTACAAACAATATGCTGAGATTTAAAAAACAAAACAAAACAAAACAAACTCTTGTTCTCCAATCACTGTGCCTTTAAAACAGTACAAGAATTCTCTATACTCTGTCTTGTTTCTCACACCCATGCTCTTGCATCCTCTCTAATTAGGCCATGGCCCCCTCCATTCCACTACAGCTGCTTTTTTCAAAGTCACCAATGATCTCCATGTTGCTCAGTTTTAAGACTTAATTCTTAGGTCAACTCTCCTGACCTATCAGGCAGCATTTGACACGCCGATTTCTCCCTTTGTAAGACATTTTCCACGTGCAGCCTCCAGAACACCCCACCCTCCTGGTTTTACTCCTACCTCACTGGCTACTTTCTTGTCCTCTCGTCTTCCTGCTTCTGGCTTAGTCTTTGGACTTTGTCTTTATCCATACCCATGCCTCTCGCTGATCTCACCCAGCTTCATGGCTTCCAACCCCATCTCTCCTCTGACAACTCTGCAATTATCTCCAGCTCACCAGCACTTTCTCCCCTGAGCTCCAGACTTGAAGGCAAGCTGCTATTCAATTTCTCCACTCAGGTATCTAATGGGCATCTCAAAGATGTCTAAACCTAAACTCCTATATTTCCTCCCTGAGTCCTGTTCCTCCTATATTCTTCCACATCTCAGGAACCCCATCCTAACCTCAGACCCAAAACCTGAGATACCCTTGACTCTTTTTTCATATCCCATACACACATAGTCTGTCAGCAATTCATATTGGCCCTTCCAGCAAAACATCTCCAGAATCTGATCACTTCTAACAACCACTAGGACCACCCTACTTCTAAACCACCAACATCCCTCACCTGGAATAGTGCAGTGGCCTCCCAACCAGTTTCCCTATTTCCACTTGCCCTCAATATAGAAACCAGAATGACCTTTAAAAATATAAGCCAGATTGAATCACTCTGGCTCAGAATCTTCCAGTGGGTTTTCACTCCAGGTAAAAGCCAGAGGCATAGCACTGGCTTACCACATGCTTGTTGACCCAGCTCCCAGTAGCTTTTCTGACTTCCTTTCTTACTGATCCCCCCGGCTTACTCCACCAAGGCCACCCCAGGCCTTGCCTTGGGACCTTTGTGTTTGCTCTTCCGCCCAGAAGGCCCTTCGCCAGATGGCGTCACCACCACTAGGCCTTGGCTCACATGTCATGTCATGAGACTGGCCCTGATCACCTCTTCAATCTGCACCCCCTTTTCCAACCCCAGCACTCCCTAATCCCTTCCCGTACTTTGTGTTTTGATGTAGCACTTCTCACCACCTGTCATACTTTTCATTTTGCTTATTTTATTTTTATAGTCTATTATATGTGTTTCCCACCAGAATGTAAACTCCGCGAAGGCAGGAGTTTCTGTCTTCTGCCCACTCCTGTATCCATAGTACCGGGAATGGTGCTTCATACTTTAAAAATTGAGTGAGCGTTTGCCTTTCTTACTGTTGTTGAGAGGGTTCTCTGGACTGGGGTCTACAGCTGGCCTGGACATTCTGCCTTGTGTCCTAGCTTCCTGAGGATGGAGCTGTCTCAGTCCCAGGTTTGCGGCCTGCCTTCACCACCTCTGACATGGCTGTGTCTGTCCGTTTTCCTCAGATGCATACTCTCATTCCTCAAGCGAGAATGGAGGCAAGTCCGAGTCCGTGGCCAACCTGCAGGCCCAGCCCTCCCTGAACTCCATCCACAGTTCCCCGGGTCCCAAGCGCTCCACCAACACTCTTAAGAAGTGGCTGACGAGTCCTGTGCGTCGGCTTAACAGCGGGAAGGCAGATGGAAACATCAAAAAGCAGAAGAAAGTTCGCGATGGTCGGAAGAGCTTTGACCTGGGATCTCCCAAGCCTGGGGATGAAACAACCCCTCAGGGAGACAGCGCTGATGAGGTACTTACAGGGGGCCCTGGAGTTGTCCATCAGGAGGGCCTTCTGACATGTCTCCTTCCTCAGGTTTTGTCAACTAGGCCATCTCAAATCTCCATTAGTGTGTTACCTTGAGCCTAAGTGATTTGGATTCTTTTTATTCTTAAGACATTGGCCAGTTTGATTTGTGGCTGATTCAGAAGCTGACTAGCCCCTAAGACTTCCAGCAGACAGAAACCATTTGCCAGATTTGGAGATAGGACCTGGGCCTGAGGGGAGTCATTTGGTCATTAGTTCCCTACCTCTACTAAGGACTACATTAAAACCAGCTAGACCTGTTTAGATTTAGAATAAAAGAATGAAGATTGTTTCATTTTGAAAACAGGACTGTGCTGGGAGATTGTAGCTGTTTTCAAGTCTCTTGAGCAGTGCCACACATCAAAAGGAATAGATCATCCAGAGTTACTCCAGATAACTATGATGAACAGATGAAGATTACAATAGGCAGGGTTTCCGCTCAAAGAAAAAGTTTAATCTAGGAGTCAGTCAGTGATTAAATGGGCCTTCATGAAAACTAATGAACGCCCATACTGGAAGGTTTGAGAGACTGTAGCCAAAGTTAGGCTGGATGAAGCTGAGATTCTGTAACCAAAAGACAGTGGATATGTTTTGGTTGGGGAAATGAGATACCTGTTTTATTTGGCACACAATCCTGCTCTAATCACTGATGTGGCTAAGAAATTCTTTGTGATGTGTAACTGGACCCCCTCTTGTTGTGATTTTATGCTACCTGCCATTTCTCCCTCTGGAAATGGCAGCTAAGCCTGGCGGCATTTGGGCTATGGTTTCATAGCCCTACAAAAATGTAAAAGTTAGGCTCTCTCTGACTACTTCCAGCTTTTTCTTTTCTTGCTAATCGATAAGATAGATAGTTTCTGGTTTTGCTTCTTTTTGGGGGTGTGTGTGTGTGTGTGTGTGTTCCCCACTGGTGCTCACTCTCATTTGAAATAAGCAGGTGTATCCATGTATCAAAAGAGGAAATTGCGACTGAACAGTTAAGAGTGAGTTGAGAGAGGAACTCTCCTCCTATGTATTATTTTTGTTAATGTCAAGTCCAGAACCACTGGCATGTTTGTGACACAGTAACTAATGCTGCTCTTTTGTTCTAGAAGAGCAAGAAAGGTTGGGGTGAAGATGAGCCGGATGAAGAGTCACACACACCCCTCCCACCACCTATGAAGATTTTTGACAACGACCCTACACAGGATGAAATGGTAGAACTTCTTTACTTGCTCACTTAAAAGAGCAACGTGCCGTGCGTGATTTTGTTTTTTGTGTGTGATGGGGGTAGTCATACTCTTTCTCCCATGTTATCTCGTCGTCCACATGAATCCATGTTGATACCAATTGTGTCTCTATTTGGTAGGTGTCCCTTCCCCAACCCTGGAGGTCCAACTTCATTCTAGGCAGTGGAGGGGGTGTGTGCAGAATTCTCAAAGTGGGAATCTGCCTGGTGTCTTGTCCTGTTGATAAAGGGTAATGGCTCTGTCTTTGGAAGCAGCACATCCTAAAAGGAGCAATTCCAGGTAGTTCCAGTCCACAACCATTTTGTCGTACCTGACTGTACAACCTGCATGTTAGTTGTTTTCCCTATAGTCAACTCTAAACTCTAACTAATGGTAGCTACCAGTCAAGCCCAGTGTTGGTCAAATTTTGCAATGACGGTATGAGGAATGAAGATGCTGCTAAGGGGAAGTTATTGTCAAAGGTGGGCAAACTTAATATGCGAAATTGCCTGACTTTGCTTTGCAAGATTCCCCGGCCCGCTGGCATGCATAGGCTCACTGGTATTTGAAATATCGATGCCCCCTGTGTCTCCAGTCACCCGGTGATCATCCCAGTTGTTCTGGAGCAGAAGCGTAGGTTAGACGTGCTTCCAGGTACTGACCCGAGGCTTGGGGCAGCTTTATGTTCTCCCTCACTTGTCACTCAGTCTCCTTGCAGCTCTGCTTTCACATCACCTTTTTTTTTCTGCCTTAAGTGTTGCTGATTCTCTTAGACTCTGGACGTGGAAGCGGCAGGTTTGGGTTTTGACTGTATGGCACTTTCCATTTGCTTTTTCAAGTGCTGTTTTGTTGCAGTGGTGGTAGTGGATGTGGCAGCTTGTCTACCTGTCCCTCCAGGCTCTCCTGTGCTCTCTAGTGCTCTGCCCTGTAGTGGGACAGCCTCCTGCGGGTGTGTCCTTTCTGGTGACATCTCAGTTCTTATTTTAATTCTCTCTGCTTTGCATTTGAATTGTTAACCCACAGACATTAACTGAAGTCTTCCTCTGTGCTAGGCCGGAAGGACAAAGTCTAGGGACTCTGAGATGTGGCAGCTGCCCCCATGATGTGACTCACCTAGTCGTGGCCCCTCCTAGGTGATGTTGGTGGCCCTGTCTTCAGGGCCAGCTCTTTGACTCTGGATTATTGGGAAGAGACATAGTAGGAAGGCTGGTGTTATACCATCCTGGGTTCCTGAGACAGAAGTGCTGGTGCTTCACCTTGAGATGGAAATGAGACCTGCCTACTTGTAATGTATTTTATAAACAGCGATCATGGCCTAAGGAGTAGGGTGCCCATGTCTCACACAGCCCTCTGTGCAAGGGCCCCACTTGCATAAGGTCACCACCTTCTCTCTCTAATTCCCTCAAACACAGCTTGTTTACAGAAATGGATGTTACATTGTTTCTGGATAATTTTTAACCCAGAATTCTGACTTACCTTTATTTGTGTAGCCTTTTCCTTATGCAGAAATGGGGCAGATGGCAACAGTCTCCTTTCAGATACATGAACTCTCCTTATTCCTGCTTGTTTGATTTCTGTATGTTTTTTATAAATGTTTGGGAGTGGGATGAACTTCAGAGCATCTAGCAAATGGAGTTGGATGTATTAAAACAATTTTTACAACACTGTCAAAGGAATTTTTAAAAGTTCACCGTTGTAATATTGTGCAATTGTCTTCTCCTTGTTTCCTTCTAATCTTTTTCTTATGTGTGTACGTTTTACTTTTACAATTATAATATGCATATGTTGTGTCCAATGTTTTATTTACTACCATTTCCTAAAATTGCATGAATTTTTTTCTTCCTAGCTGTAATTTTAATAGCTGGAGAAAATTTTGCTTATTTGCTGTTCCATAATGTGTTTGATCAGCCTGTTGGGGACATCCTAACAGGGTGTTTCCATTGTTTGCTACTATGGCTAATACTACTACATACAGATCACTGTGTATATACAGCATTTGTTCTTTTGACTTCTGTCCTTGGAATAAATTCCCAGGAGTAGGATTACTAGATTAAAAAGAGGATAGCTTGATTTTCCACATGGACGTAAGCTTTTTCCTGCAGTCCCCAAGAGAGGAAAAAGAATATTGTTATATCTTCCTTAATTATAATTATTTTCCTCCCATCTCAGAAGCAAAGACTTAATAAAGTAACTTAGATTAGATGAGAAGCTTCATTTTTGAAACTTTCTCTCTAACCCAAGGGGCAAACTTGAAGGAGCCTATGTCCTGGCCTTGGGAACACCACTGCCCCCTGCTCTGATAAGCTGGAAGTAAAAGCACACACAAACGGTGCAGGGTTAACTATTTCTCCCCCAGTTTCTTCTCAGGTAGAAGAAGGAAGAAAAAGCCAAACAAAAAACCACCATCCTTCAGTGAGCAGGAAGCCCCAAACCATTGACCACACAAACAACCACATGGACAACTCCTCACTGCTGGTGCAGGGGAAAAGGGACACAGGGAGGTCCTGGAGTCGTCTCTCTTTACTATGAACAGGGTAGTTCCTAGCTGCTTCAGGACTCCTGCTAAAGCCTTTTATTACTTCCTAGTGTTCCAGTTCAGGGGCCTTACCAGAGCCAGCTATGCTTTGTGGAGGGGTAAGGGTGTATGTGTGTCAGGGGCAGAGCGGGAGAGGAAGACAGAGGGAGAGAATATAGGAAGGGAGTATCTAGCTTGCTGGTCTCTAAGGGTCCTGCCCCTAGCATTTTTGCTGGACACATAATAAAGATCTATATCTAAGGCTGTAGTAAAGCAAGGACTGTTTCCCTTTTTTGGACACACTCAAGGCTGGGTTTGTTGAATCCTTCACACCCCAAAACAGCAACGGGCAGCTGTGTAGTGGCCAAAGTCTCGTTTGCCCACAGAGCAGTAGCCCCCGCCCTCCAAGCTGTTGCTGTCAGTAGGTACAACACTAGTCTGTAGGCCTCCCAGGAAGTCAGTGATTTCTCCTCTCCCCTCCTTCATAGGCTTGCCTAAGGATAGCCTAGTACCATCCATTTGCTGCTGGCTAGAATTCCTAATAAGGGGTTGGGCAGGCCTGTATGTATTACACCCACACTCTTCTCCCTCTGTCACCTCTTCCGTCTAAACACAGAACTTTGCTTCCCTTCCCTGGCTTGAGCTTTGGACTTTCTGTTTTATTTCCTGATCACTGTTCCTTATTCTTTGCTAATCTGCTTTTCCTCTGCTGCCCGATGTCTTGCAGTCCTCCTCTTTGCTAGCAGCCCGGCAGGCTTCCACTGAAGTACCTACTGCTGCAGACCTTGTCAATGCAATAGAAAAGTTGGTCAAAAACAAGCTGGTAAGTGGGGGTCCTGGAGGCAGTTCTGTGTGTGTCTCACCTTCACACTGCTCCAGGCTTGCATCTGTCTGCCGTTTTCTCCTTTGCACCTGTCCTCATTCTTCCTATGTGATTGCAGCTAATGATGGTTTCTAAAAAGCTGTACCCCAGAGTCCTTTTTGACTTTGTTTGGGAATGGGTATAGGGAATTAATACATCATTTGGGGGCTGCAGTGTTGATGAAAGTTGAAAACTATTCAAGACAAACTCACCTCATTGCAAGCCTGATCCAGCGGCCCACAGGCAAGTGGCATTCAGTCAGTGATTGATATGTATTTGGTTAGCCCAGAAGCTAGTACACCGCGATGCTGAGACCCAGAACACACTGATTGGATATTTGACAGCACTAGGAAATTTTATGGGGACTTGGGTAGCCTTCCAGCGTGCAAAGTCTTTCAAAAGTAGACTGCTGATTATAAAGGGGAATGGGCAAAAGTGTGTGGATACCTCACCACAATAAATTAAGAGAGTCAGTGCCTAGCCCTACAATGGGGGGAAAAACTGAACATAAGCCACTGGCAGCCTGTCTAGCCTGTGACTGTCTCATGGACCCATCAGCCCGTTGGAGGGATAGGTGATGAGTCTGAGCAGGTTTGGGGTTTTGGCATAATGCTGGTGAAAGGGCCCCTTTTTGGATAGCTCATTAGGATGGAGCTGTTCCTCCACTCTCCTGTTTTTACATTTAAGTGTATCACCACAGGATGACAATTGGAAGCATTTTCCTTTCTTTCACTCTCATCCATATCACCCATTTAGCTTTTCCTGCAATTCTCATTAGGATAAATGTCTGTGCTTCTGCCAGACTTCTATTGGGCAGTCTTATTAATCACTTGGCCCAGGAGCTAGAGGAAAATGATGGATGCTCTCTATGGAAAGCTACCTAATAATTTTGACTATAGTAACTCCCTTTTCAGATATCCCAGCATATACTATATGAATGAGGTTTAATACATATGAGTTTATTCTTTTCCTGCTAAATTTTCCTTTCTAATTAAAAAAAAAAAAACAAAAACCTGCTGTTTTCAGTACCTAGTGTCAAACTCCTGAAAATCGTCTATTTTCCTGCCATCTTTCCTTTTCCTACCAGCAGGAGTTAAGTACTCTTCTGGGCACTACATTGACTTTCAAAGACCCCTCTCTGACTGCTTCTCACTTGCTCTCCCTCTCCACACCAACCTATATACCCTCTTCATTCTACAAATGCTGTATTTAATTTTTTTCTTAAAGTCATCCTTTTTCTTTCTTTTTTGCATTTTTTCTTTTACCATCTGAGCATGGGCCCTGAATTCATTCCTGGAGTATTGCAGTAGCCATTGCCTGCCTTTTCTCTGCTAAGTCTGCCTTCACACCCAATTGGTCTTCTGTAAACACTGCTTATTGCCTCCCTCTTGGCTACATAAGCAGTGGTCTCCAATGGGGGGGTGCCCTCAGGTACATAAGACAACTTACTGGGGTATGGGAAGAAAATATTAGAGCCTCTTTATATCATTTTAAAATGGTTTTGTGTGTGTTTTCTTATGTATATAATGATAGTACAGTAGCATAAATATAGAATTTATAAACAAGTTACATGTTTGGGGGTACACGAGCAAAATTATTTTCAGTGACAGAGATATATAATCAAAGTTTGGGAATCACTGGCCTATACATAAAGTCCACACTTACCTAATATTCTGATATTTTTGTAGCCTGTTCTCCAACCTACCTTTCCACCATCTAGTTATTTATTTGGTTGTTGAACTCTGTTCCAAACAAATTGTTTTCTTTGCTATCCTCGAACTCACACTTGGCTTTCTTCCCTCCAAGTTTTTGTTCATATGGCCCCATTTCTCTGGAATGTTCTCCCTCTTATGTTTGCTTATCTAGAGCATAGTGGTCATTCAGGGTCCTACTCAGATCTCCTCCTCTACAAGGGCTTCTCTGACCAGCCCAGGCCAAATTTCCATTATAATCCCATGGTAATTACTAAAGCCACATACTGCCTGGGACAGCTCTTAAGCAGCTCTGTGGTGTAATTTGTTAAAATATCGTAATGATTTCATTTGCGTTTTACCTCCCTAGCTAGATGGTAAGTCATTTAGGATATTATTATTTTTTGCTCTATTAGTATAAAAAAGTCTTTTACACTTAGTGGGTTTTTCATGAACACTTGTTTCCAGAGTCTATTTTTATATTTTGGATTACCTTTTTGCCCACTACTACTGCTAAGCTTTGCACTGCTGACAGTCTCCAGACCACTAATTTGTGTGATCGATGGTGTTAAACATGTAAGCAAAGACATAGAAAAGTCCCATCACAGCAAATTTTCTAGAGAAGAGGGGATGTGGGATGGCATTGGTGTTGATTGGCTTTATTATAGGCTCTCAATAAATGTCTGTTGAATGAATGTCCTTTCTGTGGTGAGTGTGCCATAATGAAGGATATAACTTCTTCCAGCAATAACTACTCTTGAGGACCTACAGTAAGCCCAGAATTAGAGCTATCTTTGGCTTAACATGTAAAACCAAGCTCACGTCACAGAAAGGAAAGAGGAAGCCGTGGTTTGGTTTCTTAGAATCTTCCTACCAAAATTTGATTCTTGGTCCTTTCCACCACTTTCTCTTTCTCCCCTTCCCACATGTGGTAGCAATGTAACAATACTAGGTTGAGAATATCTCAGCCATGCTTGGGAGCACTAAGTTGCATTTTCACCTTCGAGACTCTTAGTCCTATTCCTTATCAGTTCTTCCGCTTAGAAGAAGAAAAGATTCAGAGCTCATAAAAGCTCTGGAGTATTTATTTGACTAAGTACAACTGTGTGATAGCTGCGAAGATAGTGAGTATTATCACAGGCTTGGTTAATGAAAGTACAATGTACAGATCAAAAGAAGCAATAGTATTCAAAGGTATTCAAACCATACACATCATGAGCTGTGTGTGACTAATGCATTCGATTCTTTCTTTCTTTTTTTTTTTTTTTTTTGAGACAGAGTCTCACTCTGTCGCCCAGGCTGGAGTGCAGCGGCATGATCTCGGTTCTCTGCAACCTCCACCTCCCAGGTTCAAGTGATTCTCATGCCTCAGCCTCCTGAGTAGCTGGGATTGCAGGCACACCACCATGCCTGGCTAATTTTTGTATTTTTAGTAGACACAGGGTTTCACCATGTTGGCCAGGCTGGTCTCAAACTCCTAACCACAGTAATCCACCCACCTCAGCCTCCCAAAATGCTGGGATTACAGTCATGAGCCACCACGCCCAGCCAATGCATTCTATTATTCTATTCTAAATGCAACCTTCTACAATGTTCTTGAACAAACTGGAGGGGCCCAGAGGAGGTAACCAAACCATGTGGTCCATGTAATTTGAAGGAAAGTTGAGGAAACCAAGGTTAACTATGGGGAGAAGTTAGGAGAAGACACATGAGAGCTGTCTTCTAGTAATTGAAGCACTGCCATGGGAATGAGGTTGCAAAGAGCAACTAACTCTTTATTACCCCAGAGGGCAGAATCTAGACCTGTGGGTGGGAGTTTTCTTCGTTCCATATGAGGAAGAACTAATAAAGTTCTTTCCACTTTACAGAGTTCAATTCCATCTTACAGGAGCATCTGGTATTCTTGGACTTTACTGAGTCCTTAAAGTCTTTCCGCTTTATTGGTTGCTCAAGCCGCGGCACGGAATTCTGCTTTAGAATTCGTTTGGCTCCCTGGCTCCACCCAAAGGCCATGAGATCCCCCATGTTCCTATCTCCCAGAGCTGCCCCTGGTGCTTTATGGTCACTTGGTCATTTGTTATACCAAAGCTTCTGCCTCGGTGAGTTAGGATCTCTGCTGCACAAGACCTACTGTTAAGGAACAAAAACAGGGTTTATCTGCAGTGCAGATAAAACTCCCGAAGAGTCACCACCCACCCATGAGTCCTTCTGGACATTAATGGGCCCTTCTGTGGTCTTGCTATCAGCCTTGGTCTTTAATTCGTGCTTTTGTTTATTAAGAAAGATGCTCACCCATCTCCCCAGATAGAACTAACACACTTTTTCTGGGTTTTGCATTAAGGGATTATCTTTGAGCCAGGAATAGGGCTCCCCCTGCTTTCACTGTGTGATTTTTAATAAAGCCTTTTCTAGACGTGTGGACTGTTGCTGCTGGCAGTGACTGTGTAAGGAATCAGAAGACCTAGGATTTAGTCCTGCCTCTGCTATCTACTGTATAGTCCTGGGAAAATTACTTAGTCTACTTGGGGTTCTCTTTTACCTCACTTATTAGTGATGCTGATTCTGTCTATTCAAATCTAATCCCAACAGAGTTATGATGATAATTGAGTAGGCATGAATGGGCTTTGTAAACTGATAATCAAGCATCTACAAATGTTAGTTCTTAGCCACCTCGACTGCCTTGTGAAGGACAGGGAAAGGGAACTGTGTCATCCTTATCTCCTGTAGCTTGGTATGAAGCTGGGCACATGGAAACTTAGTATTTGCCAGCAATAGATTGGTTGGGTGAATGTTGCAGGGTAATAGTTTGACAGTCTATACAATTTGGTTTTATTTCCCAAGTTTGAGAAACAAGAGCTTCCTGGCCATGTGAGAATCTAGTGTATCTCTAAACTGAAGTCCTGGAGCCCCAGAATTCTACTATCTTCCTGGCATGAAAGACCAAGCCTCTGGAAAGAAAGCCCCTAGGCCAAGTGTGGTGGCTCACACCTGTACTCCTAGCACTTTGGGAGGCCAAAGCGGGCAGATTGCCTGAGCTTAGGAGTTCAAGACCAGCCTAGGCAACACGGTGAAACCCCATATCTAGTAAAATACAAAAGAAATTAGATGGGCGTGGTGGCATGCGCCTGTAATCCCAGCTACTCCGGAGGCTGAGGCATAAGAATCGCTTGAACTCGGGAGGCAGAGGTTGCAGTGAGCCGAGATCGCGCCACTGCACTCCAGCCTGGGGTGACAAAGCAAGACTGTCTCTACAGAAAAACAAAAAATTAAAAGAGAGAGAGAGAGAGAGATAGAAAAGAAAAGAAAGCCCCTTTCTGAGCTCGTCATTGGGTGGCACACTAGCGTAGTTCACTGGGCTCAGGATGGCCCTAGTGGACCCTGGCTAATAATCCTCTGCCTTTAGGGAAGAGACTGGCCAGGACTGAACTCCTATTTAGTCTACTTGGTGGCCTGGCACCCTGAGAATGTGCCCTACCTGCTTCAGCAAGACTTTCCACCCTCTGGTTCTCCTATTTTGACAGCATTCATCTCCTCCTTGGGCCAGCCTTGTGGGTCATGGAAGAACATGGCCACAGCCAGGCTGTATTTGTGTGTGTGCTTTGCCCCCCTTTAGAAGAATTAACTTGTTTTGTCAATAGCCGGGTGGAGTTAGCAAAAGTTCAGAATCCAGATGGGGAAAAAATAATGGCCTCATCATATCCATTGCAGAGGTGTATGTTTCCAGGGACTGGGTTCTTCTAGCATGCTTCTGTGGAAGAGATTCCCAAGCCTCGTTTTTTTTTTTTTTTTTTTTGAGACGGAGTTTTGCTCTTGTTTCTTGTTGCCGAGGCTGGAGTGCAATGGCGTGATCATGGCTCACTGCAACCTCCGCCTCCCGGGTTCAAGCTATTCTTCTGCCTCAGCCACCTGAGTAGCTGGGATTAACAGGCATGCGCCACCACACCAAGCTAATTTTGTACTTTTAGTAGAGACAGGGTTTCTCCATGTTGGTCAGGCTGGTCTTGAACTCTCAACCTCACGTGATCCGCCTGCCTCGGCCTCCCAAAGTGCTGGGATTACAGGCATCAGCCACCACACCAGGCCAATTACTGAGGTTCTTGTAAGAAGGTAAAAGTTTAGATTTCCACCATTTTTTGTTTGTTTGTTTTTGTTTTTGTTTTGTGGAGGCAGGGTCTGACTTTGTTGCCCGGGCTGGTCTCAAATTCCTAGCCTCAAGCAATTCTCCTGCAATGGCCTCCCAAAGTGCCAGGATTGCAGGTGTGAGCCACCATGCCCAGCCTCCACAAAATTTTTTTTTTAGCCCAGTTACAAATCTGAAATGTCATTGGCCTGGAAAATCCAGACTTAAGCTTTTCAACTGTGTATTGTCCCTACACCCCCCAACAGTTTGCCTAGGAATTACTTAGATCTCATGCTTTTTGTCCAGAGAATATTACTTAAGGATTTTGTTGTTGTTCGGTTTTTTTGACACAGGGTCTCACTCTGTCGCCCAGACTGGAGTGCAGTGGCTTGATCTCGGCTCACTGCAGCTTTGATCTCCTGGGCTCAAGCAATCTTTTCACTTCAACCTCCTGAGTAGGTGGGACTATGGGCATGTGTCGCCATGCCTGGCTGATTTTTAAATTTTTCTATTTTTAGCAGAGATGAGGTCTCGCTTTGTTGCCCAGACTGGCGTTGAACCTGAGCTCAAGCAATCCTCCCACTTCAGCCTCCCAAAGTGACAGCCACAGCCATATGTTATTTTTTTACATATATTTTATTGTGTATATTTGAGGTTTACAACATGATGTTATGAGATACCCATAGATAGTAGAATGGTTACTGTAGTGAAGCAAATTAACATATCTATCATGTCACACAGTTACTTTTTTGAGTATGTGTGACAAAAGTAGCTAAAATTTATATTTTAATTAGTTAAATAAAATTTTGGTGGAAGTCTAAATTAGTACCTAAAGAGTAGCTAAATGTACTTATTTAACAAAAATTCCAAATACAATTTTATTAATGATAATCCTCATGTAGATTAGGTCTCTAGACCTGTTCATGCTACAGATTTGCTACTTTGTATCCTTTGACCTACATGTCCCGGTTTCCTAGCTGCCTTCTCCACTTTGCTGGTAACTACTGTTTTATTTTCTATCCGTGTATATTTTTGTGTATATTTTGACCTTTTAAAAAAATATTCCACATATAAATGAGATCATGCAATATTTTTCTTTCTGTATCTGGCTTATTTCACTCAGCATCATGTCCTTCAGGTCCATCTGTGTTGTGGCAAATGGCAGGATCTTTTTTTAAAATTTTTTTTTATACTTTAAGTTCCAGGATACATGTGCAGAGCGTGCAGGTTTATTACATAGGTATACACGTGTCATGGTGGTTTGCTGCACCCATCAACCCATCATCTACATTAGGTATTTCTCCTAATGCTATCCTTCCCCTAGCCCCCAACCCCCAGACAGGCCCCAGTGTGTGATGTTCCCCTCCCTGTGTCTATGTGTTCTCATTGTTCAACTCCCACTTATGAGTGAGAACATGCAGTGTTTGGTTTTCTGTTCCTGTGTTAGTTTGGTGAGAATGATGGTTTCCAGCTTCCTCCATGTCCCCGCAAAGGACATGAACTCATCCTTTTTTACAACTGCATAGTATTCCATGGTGTATATGTGCCACATTTTCTTTATCCAGTCTATCATTGATGGGCATTTGGGTTGGTTCCAAGTCTTTGTTATTGTGAACAGTGCTGCAATAAACATACGTGTTCATGTGTCTTTATAGTAGAATGATTTGTAATCCTTTGGGTATATACCCAGTAATGGGATTGTTGGGTCAAATGGTATTCCTGGTTCTAGATCCTTGAGGAATCACCACACTGTCTTCCACAATGGTTGAACTAATTTGCACTCCCACCAACAGTGTAAAAGTGTTCCTGTTTCTCCACATTCTCTCCAGGATCTGTTGTTTCCTGACTTTTTGATGATCGCCATTCTAACTGGCGTGAGATGGTATCTTATTGTGGTTTTGATTTGCATTTCTCTAGTAACCAGTGGTGATGAGCTTTTTTTCATGTGTCTGTTGGCTGCATAAATGTCTTCTTTTGATAAGTGTCTGTTCATATCCTTTGCCCACTTTTTGATGGGGTCGTTTGTTTGTTTCTTGTAAATTTGTTTAAGTTCTTTGTAGATTCTGGATATTAGCCCTTTGTCAGATGGATAGATTGCAAAAATTTTCTCCCATTCTATAGCTTGCCTGTTCACTCTGATGATAGTTTCTTTTGCTGTGCAGAAGCTCTTTAGTTTAATTAGATCCCATTTGTCAATTTTGGCTTTTGTTGCCATTGCTTTTGGTATTTTAATCATAGTCTTTGCCCATGCCTATGTCCTGAATGGTATTGCCTAGGTTTTCTTCTAGGGTTTTTAGGTTTTAGGTTTTAAAAATGTTTAAGTCTTTAATACATCTTGAGTTAAGTTTTGTTTAAGGTGTAAGGAAGGGGTCCACTTTCAGTTTTCTGCATATGGCTAGCCAGTTTTCCCAACACCATTTATTACATAGGGAATCCTTTCCCCACTGCTTGTGTTTTAAGGCTGAATAATATTTCTCTCTCTCTCTCTCTCTCTCTCTCTCTCTCTGTGCGTGTGTGTGTGTGTGTATCACAGTTTCTTTAACCATTTGTCCATCAATAACACTTAGGGGTTTCCATAGCATACTATTGTAAATAATACTGCAATGAACATGGGGGTGCAGATGTCTTAAGAAAAGCTGACTTCATTACCTTTGCGTATATACCCAGAAGAGGGATTATTGGGTCATATGATAATTCTATTCTTAATTTATTTGGGAACCTCCCTACTGTTTTCCAAAATGTCTACATAAGTCTACATTCCCACCAACACGTACCAGGGCTCCCTTTTATTCACACCCTTGCCAACATTTGTTATCTCTTATTTTTCATTTTTATTTTTATTTTTTTGCTGCCTCCCTGTCTGGGAATCGGACCCTGATCTCTTATTTTGTTCTTAATAGCCATCCTAACAGTTGTGATATGCAAATTTTTATCAAAGAGGAGCAACTAAGAGGTGATTGGTTGGTGTGGTAGGTGGCACTGGACCAGCTAGCTTACCCATTGTCTCATCACATGAGCTTTGATCTCTTCCCAAGTTACATAGCATATTTAATAAATTCTTGGAGTCCTCCTGTACACCAGGCTTTGGAATCAAGCACAGAATTTTCCTTATATGGAGCTCGCAGTCTCTAGGGTTAATGCTTAAAATCCTCTCCTCCCTGGACTGTTGGAAATCATTTCCTCTTAGATTTTAGTCCGACATCTCTCTATGTGACTGCTAGAGGGATCTTTTGTTTACTTTTTTTTTTTTTTTTTGAGACAGAGCCTTGCTGTGTCACCCAGTCTGGAGTGCAGTGGCATGATCTCGGCTCACTGCAACCTCCACCTCCCAGGTCCAAGTGATTCTCCTACCTCAGCCTCCCGAGTAGCTGGGACTACAGGCATGTGCCACCACATCTGACTAGTTTTTGTATTTTTAGTAGAGATGGGGTTTCACCATGTTGGCCAAGCTGGTTTTGAACTCCTGACCTCAGGTTATCTGCCCCCCTCGGCCTCCCAAAGTGTTGGGATTACGGGCATGAGCCACTGCGCCCGGCCTCTTTTCCATTTTTTTTTTTTTTAATTAATAGTTCTTTTCTGACGAATATAAGAAATATATGCTTATTCAAAAAAATTTGGAAAAATGACGAGTATAAACATAAATCATCATCTAGACATATTCAGTATTGAAATTTTGATATGTTTTCTTCTAGACCCTTTTAAAAATAGTATAGTTAATCACAGAGTACTTAAAATTTAAGTTCTGTTTCTCTTTACTATCACATCAGAGACATTGTCCCAAATTATGAAAATATCTTTGGAACGTTAAGACTGACATTTCTAAGTCTTAAATCAAAACATGCTATTTCCCTGCTTACAACCCTTCCATCATTGGTCTTAGAAGGTAAAGTTTCTACTTCTTTATTTTAATTTTAATTTTAATTTTTTTATTTAATAGAGATGGGGGTCTCACTATGTTGCCCAGGCTCGGTTCAAACTCCTGAGCTCAAATGACCCTCTCACCACAGCCTCCCAAACTGCTGGCATTACAGGCGTGAGCCACCATTCCCGGCCAAGTCTCTACTTCTTAATACCATGCAGACAGGTTCCTTATGATCTGATCCCTGCAAACTTCTCCAGGATTCTGTTTTCACTCCTCATCCCCTCTTCCTTTAATACCTACTCACCCAGACTCACAAAACACACAGTTACTTGCCACCCTCCTTCCCTCACACTCTGTACTCTGCCCACACCAGGCTACTTTCAGCTTCCCAGGCTGCCCCCATGTCATTTGTTCTTTCACCCTATACTCACAATGCTGCTCCTGCCTGGAATGTCCTCCCATTGGCATATCCAGTGAAAGTCTCCTATTTATCCATTCTCAGTTCAAGCATTGCCTCTTCCATTAAGTCTTTCCTTCTCCATCCCACCATAGAGCCACCTGCTCCTTTTGTTCACCCTCCATTGTACCCTGTGTCTCTACAAGAGTGCCCATTTTGGCTTAGATTATGGAGGCCAGGGAGCTTTGTCTTATTCATCCTCATTTCTCCAGCACTTTGCAAATATTTAGCATGTAGTAGATGTTCAATAAATATTTTCCTGAATTCAAACCAGTGGTTACAATACTATGTGATGAAAGCCATGCAGGGAGTATGTAAAGAGTGTCTATAGGTGCCCAGAGAGGGGGCAGGTTATGAGTATATGATCCCAGATCCAGCGCCCAGGAAATGTGTTCATTTTAAATATGGGGATGACCTTCCTCCACACTTCGTCACATATTTGAATCTATTTGCATTTCTATTCCCCATCCTTGGATTGACTATGGGAACATTTGTTGCTCTATCCCCATGTACCTTTTCCTTTGTCCTCTGAGACTATTTGTGCCCTGAGCTCCAGGTGGGGCATAAGTCCTCACTGTGGCAGAAACCTGGCCACCACTGCCTGTTTTCTCCCAGGAGCAGAACAGAGAATTTTAGGTCAACCCTAGTTGCCCTTAGCTGGGGCTCAGTATCCCAACTCTAGCATAGGTAGCTAGGTCTTCAGAGGCCATCACTCTTGAATTATTACAAGCATTAAAATCAAACCCATTGTTTTAGGCAGACTATCTAGCATATAGCTTTAGCCAAATTCTTTCTTCCTCTTGTCCTTGTCTCTCACTGTTGCCATCCCAGAGAGTCCTCCCCTAGAGATAGCCTGGGCTACTTTGCTTATAGAACAGGTCAGGTAGGAGGAGATGGAAGTATTTCCCCATTTGACATAATGGACTCCTCAGATGTTCTTTGTTCTGTAGAAAGGTTGAGAGTGGACCACACAAAGCTGGATGCTCCATGGGAGTGCCCGTGGGCAGAGGTGTCTCCCTGGGAAGGGGTAGGAGCACAGAGGATACCACTGAGCAGCAATTCACTAGAGGAAAACATTCATTTCTTCTAAGGGCAAAGGGATGGAACTGTGAATGAACTTCAGCAGCATCTAATGGTCAAGCGAGCCTATAAACCAAGGCTTGTTTCCCAGGCGTTGCAGTCACCATGCTACCACTCAACAGGCTGCAGAACAAAGGCTGAAACAGGACAATGGGGAGAAGGAGAGAAGAGGAAGTAAAAGGCATGTAATCAGATCAATCACCAGCTGGGCCCATCTGCCCAGGAGCCTGTCTCTGGTGATGGCACCAGGAGACATGTCATTGGAATGCCTGCCTGTGTGCTTGGTTGTCAAGCCTCAGCACCAGACACTCTCATTTCCTTAATAACAGGTTACAGATCCTGTATCTATAAATTGAGCTAAACCCTTCTTGACCTTTCCATATTTTTAGCCTATACTGCTGCTCTGGATATAACAACTTCCATGGCTGATTACTTGTTCTGTGAATACTTTTATCTCAAGTTAAAAGAAATTCTCTCTTGAGTTTGAAGACCCTGTCCTCTTAGTTCCAGTTTCTAGTGTTGGTAACAAATTCATGTTTAGCCCTTGGCACATTTTGTCAGTTTGGGGGTGGGGGAATGGAAGGTTTGATATCTGCTTAGTGTTATGTTTTTCAGATTCAAATCTTCATATTCTCCATCTTTTCTTATAAAATGGACCATCAGGAACCTCATTAGTTTTTGATTTATTTCTCTGGACCTTTCTGTTCTACCTGTTTAGCCTATGTTAAAATAGAGCAACTGAGAGCATCATGACAATACTCCAAGTGCAGCTCACTGAAGGCCAAGCTGAAGCCTTTCATTCCTACCTTTTTGGACTGCATTTTTTTAAATCTTTGTGACTTTAACCTTAGGGCTAATGTTTTCAAAAACTACTAAATGAAACTGTTTCTGTTAGCTGCAGTAGCTGGTTTAGGCAGGCATCTTGTAAGAGCAGTTTAGGGCCAGACACGCTGTCTCACACCTGTAATCCCAGCATTTTGAGAGGCTGAGGTGGGAGTATCACTTGAGCCCAGGAGTTCAAGACCAGCCTGGGCAATGTAATGAGACCCAGTCTCTTAAACAAACAAACAAACAAACAAACAAAAAAGATTAGCTGGATATGGTGGTGCATGACTGTCCCAGTTATTTGGGAGGCTGAGGTGAGAGGATTGCTTGAGCCTAGGAGGTCAAGGCTGCAGTGAGCCATGATTGCACCACTGTACTCCAGACTGGGCAATAGAGTGAGACCCTGTCTCAAAATAGATAGATAGATAGATAGATAGATAGATAGATAGATAGATAGATATTATGGCTGGGTGCATTGGCTCATGCTTGTAACCCCAACACTTTGGGAGACTGAAGCGGGAAGATCACTTGAGCCCAGGAGTTCAAGACCAGCCTGGGCAACATAGTGAGACCCTGTCTCTAAAATAAAATAATAATAATAATAATAATAATAATAATAATAATAATAAAGAATAGCCTTAGATTAGTCTCTCATTATTTGTTTTACAGTTGCCCAACTTGACCTTACTCTCCAGCCTCACTGTGTATCCACACTACTTCTGCCAATTTGCATAATGAAATGCTAAATGTCACTGTGTAATCCTTCTTCCAGGACACTTGTAAAAGTGTTAAGATTGACTCCATTTTGAATATTTTTATCGTTAACAGTTCCATCCATGGGGACAGGGGAAAACCCCATCATCATAGGACATTTTTAACTTTTCAAAGGGGTTGTACAGCTATTATCTCGGCCTATTCCTTAGAAATCTGTAGAGAGGGAAGATTTAATTTGAAAACTGAGAAAAACTGAAGCATGGAACAATTTTAGCTATCTCACATAAATCATTCAGTGACTAGCAGGTCTGGGATTCAAATTTAGGTTCTTTTACCCTTAGTTCCCTCTGGAGTACCATATTCACCCTTTTCACTTGTTTTCTTTTGTAACTGCATATTTGGTATAGAATTGCGATCGTTAGCATTACCTCTGGAGCTCTTAACTAGAGATAGTCACTTTGACAATTTCATTATGTCTGGGAAATTGGCAGCACATAGATGCCAAGTACATCCTGGTTGCCTGAGAAGGTGGCAGCTCTGGGCTCCCTGCTGCAGGAGGATAAAGTCTCTGGTCTGCTAGTGCTTCACTGTGGTTTGGTGAGAACAGCCTTGGCTACTGATTTTCCATGTTGTCTGTGGCTAGGCTGGGAGGACACAGGGATTCCAAATGACTTTTCAAAGTACACTTCTCTAAGCCTGTTTTTCTCTCTTTTCAGAGTCTAGAAGGAAGCTCATACCGGGGGAGCTTGAAAGACCCTGCAGGCTGCCTGAATGAGGGGATGGCCCCACCCACACCTCCTAAAAACCCAGAAGAAGAACAGAAAGCCAAGGCCCTGAGAGGCAGGATGTAAGTGGCTTCCCCAGTTCCTCCCTGTGGTGCACATGTGAGTGCGGTGGACAATGGACAAAGGTTGGGGAAAATTCGAGAGGGGTTCCCCACGCTGTTTCCACTGACATCTTTCATTCTAAGACTCAGATCTGTACAGCATAGCACTGATAAACATTGAGCCACTTTGGCACTGACTTGATTGAAGTTTAGGCTAAAGTATATTCTGTGAGATAGCAGCTATTACTGACAAAGTGTGGTTGTAGGTCTGTTAGAAATTTAAAACATAGTGATAAAAGGAAAATGGCAAAGTTGAGGAAACTATGAGACTGTTACTGAGGGCCTATAGAATCAGAGAGTCTCTGACCGTGGCAGATAGTCTGATAGAGATCACCTAAGAAAACATTTCCCCAAATGTAGGAAAGTTATATATAGAGGAAGGAGCTGTTGTACCACCAAGCAGGTCCTGTCTCTACTCCTTCTCCAAAGGTTTTAATTTTGCATCTGTTTCTGGGATTAGTTCCAAGAGAACTTCTTCTCCACTTTGAATAGTTAGTGGTAAAATAAAATTCATAATGCAGAACAATCCCATGTTATGCAAGAGTTACCTATGTTGATATGAAGTCAATCTGTTATTTGAGTTGATCAAGAATATACCACATACCACTAGTGCAAAAGCAGAACTCCTCCAAAACTTTCATTTTCTTTTTCTTTTCTATCTTTTTTTTTTTTTTTTTTGAGACAGGGTCTTGCTTGGTCACCCAGACTAAAGTACAGTGGTATGATCATAGCTCACTGCAGCTTTGACCTCCTGGGCTCAAGGGATCCTCTCACCTCAGCCTCCCAAGTAGCTGGGACTACAGGTGTGCGCCACCATGCCTGGCTAATTATTTTATTTTTTGTAGAGATGGAGTCTTGCTTGGTTGCCCTGGCTGGTCTGGGACTCCTAGGCTCAAGTAATCCTCCTGTCTCAGCCTCCCAAAGTGTTGGGATTACAGGCAGGATCCACTGCACTTGGCCAACTTTTGTTTTCTTGTTTAGGGTTGTACTCTGTGTTGGAAGCAGAGCTACTGATGAGTCTTAGACATAGCTCAGCATGTGAGAGATTATAAGCAGTAGTGAGAATTGGGAAGGCAGGTGTGAAGGGTCCCTCCCTGTTGTTAATTAGCCTGCCTTTCTCTCTCAAATTCATCACTCCTTTAGCCTAGCCACAGACATGAAAACTAGCAAAAATAAGTGAGGCCAGGTCCTTCTGTTACCTAGAAATGTACAAAGTGTCTATTTATGAGTTTCTGTTTCCTAGGAAACAAAAGTGAGAACATCACAGTGAAGGCCTGGTTTGAAAGCAGGGCTATCACTTCATAGTGGAGATGAACAAGTAGCATGTAAATCTTGAAATTCTGTATTTACCCCCTCAGCTTTGTGAGTACTCAGGGGGAACCCCAAGAAGTTGGTAAATGGAATAGAGGTTGATAAATGCCATACCCAAAGGGAAATTTCCTAGCACTTGCACAAAGCTGAGTCTCCTTAGCTTCTCAGGTTGTTGTTACACAGGTGAGGCCAAGTTGGAGCTGATGTCTTAGTCCTTTGTCAAGTCAAAGCAAAGCTTAAGTCAGAAAGGTGACCTCTGAGGTGGCAGGTGACCCTGGGAAAAGCCAGTCACTACTCTTTTTTTTTGAGATGGAGTCTCTCTCTTTTGCCCAGGCCAGAGTGCAGTGGCACTATCTCGGCTCACTGCAAGCTCCGCCTCCCGGGTTCACACCATTCTTCTGCCTCAGCCTCCCAAAGTAGCTGGGACTACAGGCACCCGCCACCGCATCTGGCTAATTTTTTGTATTTTTAGTAGAGACGGGGTTTCACCGTGTTAGCCAGGATGGTCTCGATCTCCTGACCTCGTGATCCGCCAGCCTCAGCCTCCCAAAGTGCTGGGATTACAGGCGTGAGCCACCGCACCCAGCCGCCAGTCACTACTCTTAGCATGTAGCTTGAACCGGCCTTTGAGCAGTCATTTAAGCCATTGTCCAGATTCAACAGGCCACAAAAGTTTGCTGTCTCTTTTGCCCACTTTACGCATCTCTTCTCCCTCTTCTCATTCTTGCCAAAATCCACACCTCTTCACATCCTGAGCTATCTTGAAAATGCAGCTGTTAGAGTATCTCATACCTCTTACTATATCTCATCCTTATTCTCTCCTGCTGTACTTTATGGTCTTGATGAAAGGGTGTTGTATAGGTGTTTCACTGTAAACCATATGTGAGGCCAGAGGCTGAGGGGTGTAGCGAACCAAGACTCAATCCAGAAGATGGCAGTGGGGCGTCAAAGGGTTAAATGAGAGCTCTGTGGAGAAAAGATGAACACAAATAGTCATTTGTCCAGGAGAAGAAAAAAGTTGAGAATGGAGTTACTTGTCTTCAAGTTTTAGTCATTCAACAAATACTGGTCTAACACCAGTATGTACCATCAGTGGGATACATCAGTGAATAAGACAAATAATAACAACATAAGTCTTTGCTCTCATGGCAAGTTTAAATTCTAGTGGGAGAAATCAGACAATAAACAAAATAAATTATGTATTATGTTGGAAACAAGAAAAAGAAAAAAAAATAGAGCAGTGTAAGGGAGATCCAGAGAATAAATGAGGCCATGCTGCAATTTTAAATGGCCCTGGCATTTGCACAAAGACCGGGGGAGGTAAATTAGCCATGGAGAAAAAGTGTTCTCAAGAGAGAGAACAGCCAGTGCAATGAATCTAAGAGATTTTCTGTGGAAGACCAGCCATTCCCTATCCCTGTGAAAGGAGGTTAGAAGTGGTTCTAACCAGTAGCTGAAATAATTTTAGTTGGACCAAAGAATAACATTTGTTTGTAAATAACTTCTACTAATAAGAACTTATCATGAAAAACATGCCTTGTTGTCAGTTCATTTGGCAATTAATTGTGCACTGCCTTGCAATGCCTGCAATTTAAATCCTTGATGTCACTTTTCAGAATGTCTTTTAATACGTCATGGTCTCCTTCATTAACCCTTCAAGGGAAGAGATGACAGGTCCACTAGCAGCACCTAATACAGTTCCCTTCTCTAAAGGCTGAGAAGCCAAAGATAGCCCTCATCTGTCAGCAAATAGCTTAGGATAAAAATATCGCCTGGAGACAGAGAGCTGGACTTCATCTCCAGAGGGCCCTCCCAGCCCCATATTCCCACTCTAACTTTCCTGTGGGTTTTCTTTTGCCACTTTCTACCAGGCGGTAACTTGGGCCATGGTAAAGATATATTTAAATGCTTTCATTTGGCCTTGCCAGTTCCTTCCTGTGGCCTAAAACACATGATTGTCTGTGCTGGAGAGGGAGCTGTTGGAAGTGCTGGGTGCACTGATAAAGAAGCATGTGTTCCTCTGCTTCCTCCCCATTGCCCAGAGGCCCCAGGCTCCAGGAATGTGGTGGCTTCTGGGGCTATACGGAGCAAGAGTTTCAGATGAATTGCTTCCTGGGTTAAAAATGGTTACCACCCTTGTGCTGGGGTCCCACTTTGACATCTCAGAACTTTATCATTTCTGCTACTTGTGCCCAAAATGCAATTGTGTGGTCCCAGGCAAAACTCATTCCAATCAGATTGGAAGAGTTTGACTCCAGTAGGTTGCACAGCACCACCCTGCCCCTGTGCACAACTTTAGCATTTTATGTAAAGCTCTTTAGTGTCTGGACAAAAGACAGAAAGAGTGTTTGGGTTTGAGGCTTCAAGGACTCCCAAGAGCCAGTCAGAGTAGTTTACCAAGCAGTGGGCTGCTGGGAAAGAGCATGGTCTTTGGACTCTTGCACAACTGGGTTCAAATCCTGGCTCTGCTACTCACTTTGCAATCATGGTCAGGTTACCTAATCTTTCTGTCTCTGCATTTTCATTTATATAAAATAGGTTTTACAATACCTACCTTATTATAAGCATGGGAAAACCCAGATGAAGGGAGTGGCACATAGTAAATGGTAGAAAGAATTAACAAGAAAGAAACCAAGAGAGCAAATGTCCTTGTAATTGTTAAATCCTGCATCCTGGAGAAGGTAGTGCTGCATTAAATGTGTGATTTTGGAATGTCTGCAGTCCATCTTTCTGGCCTTGACTGGGGGTTTTCCAGGCCAGTTACCATGATACCTATCTGAATAATTGCAGCTTCCATATCTTAAAAACTTCACTTGATATCTATCCTTGTCTTGGAGGACTTACAGGTTGGTAATCAAATAAATGTCTTTCTCTTCTTGTTAAGTGAAGAATGGAGCTGAAATGAAGGAAGAAAAGTCTCATCTTAACCCCTGCCCAGCCTCAAAGCTTTCAGAACGCAGTTTTGCCAAAATGGTTGTCAATCTTTCTGCCCTCTGTCTATACAATCGTTCAGTTGTAGGTGAGGGAGAAACACATGAAGAATAGAAAGAAGAATGCTAGGTACTGAGCGTCATTTTTCGTGTGACTATTGTATGTCACCTGGGGAAGTCCTTTCTGGCCTTGGTGTCCTCAGCCCTTCAGTAGGGCCTCCTCTAGGGAAAGCATCCGTAAGCATCTTTCCCAGGAGATAAGTGTGGGTGTTTTAAGGGGTCTTGTTATAAAGGTGCCAAAGTAACTTTTCTGTGAACTTAAGTGAAGATTTTTGGCTTAACAATGAAGAGGAACACTCACTGTTCTTAATCTCCTGCTCAGGTTTGTCCTGAATGAGCTGGTACAGACAGAGAAAGACTATGTCAAGGATCTGGGCATTGTGGTGGAGGTAAGTAGAGGGTTCCAGGTGGGTCTGTGGTCACCCAACCAGGAGCACGTTGGACCCTACCTAGGCCAAGGTGTTTTAATCTGATGGTTACATGTACTTTACTGTCTGAGCACTTGCAGAAATGAAAATAAAAATGGTAATAAGTAGAATATGTAGGCAATATTTTTCTTTTCCCCTTGAAATAAGATATTTAGAGGGAAGTAGTGGCCTGAATGTTATAGCATTTGGGGGAGCCTCTTGGTTAGAGTGGAACTCATTCCACTTTGTTTTAGGTGACCAAGCTATTGTCTTAAGAGCTTTTCTTTGATGTTTAACTATGTGGACATATATTCTTCAGAGCTATGAGCCACATAGGCATAAAACAGTTCATTCTTAGTGGGATCTTAGGGCTTATACATTTCCATAGATTTCAAGGGTAAGTGTTACAGCTAGCAAAAAGACAGATAAAAGAAAAACCCACCAATGAGCAAGGTTGACAGGTCCACAGTTAAGAGTCGACTTGGTAGTAAATTAAACAAATCTAGCTCTGTAGGGATTCACTTAAGAGGGACTTAGACACTTGGATGAAAAAAAAAAAGCCTGAGAAAGTAAATGGGTAACTTGAATGGCTTAGAGCCCTATTGTTAATCATCTTGAAAGAACATGAAGTCTAAAAGTTCTCGGCCGGGTGCGGTGGCTCATGCCTGTAATCCCAGCACTTTGGGAGGCTGAGACGGGTGGATCACGAGGTCAGGAGATCGAGACCGTCCTGGCTAACACGGTGAAACCCCGTATCTACTAAAAATACAAAAAAATTAGCCGGGCGTGGTGGTGGGCGCCTGTAGTCCCAGCTACTCAGGAGGCCGAGGCAGGAGAATGGCGTGAACCTGGGAGGCGGAGCTTGCAGTGAGCTGAGATCGCGCCACCGCACTCCAGCCTGGGCGACAGAGCAAGACTCCATCTCAAAAAATAAAAATAAAAGTAAAAATAAAACAAAAAAATAAAAATTCTATGCCTAAAGCCTACATTGCCTGCTGGTTCCTTACATTTGGCCTGAGTTCCCATCCTGTGAAATCTGCTGACTTAGGGTTTTGTATTTGCTTATTCTGAATCTTGGATAAACAGATTAACCAGCCATATAGAAAACCTGAATTTTAACTTACGGAAAGTTATTCTTGTCTTTTTGTGGGGCTGGGGGGTGGAAGAGGTACAATAGCTTCCATATGCAGTCCAGCCCAGGAGTAGAGGACGAGGGAATCTGAAGACTGGGAGGCTGAAATGCAGGGAACTCAGACATCAGTGGTGCGATTATGGACAAGTCATCATCCAACACCCAGGTGCCTGGGTTTTCTTGTCCGTCAGATGGGGATAATGCTACCTGTCCAACCTCAAAACCTGATTTTAAAACAGAAATGAAATTCTCTATGATCACATTTTATAGACTATAAAGTATTAACATATTAAGACTTATTTCTAGGCCAGATGTATCTAGTTCTGAGCCTTTATAGACCTGATTAATTTGGATTGGGAGAAGGAAGAGGGACAGCTTATTGTTTTCTTCTGTGCTCTGCTTTCTTAAGGGGACTGGAGACAAAGAAGGGGATCCTGAAACTCATAAAAGTTTTCTCTATTGCTCTGCACCAGGGGTTAAAGACCTGGTTGAATAGTGAGAAACCACAGAAGCATTTGTCCGCAAACTCACGCAGAGAGTGTGGGCTTGCAGGGGTGCTGTGGTGTGTGGCATGGCCCAGAAAGCTTTCCTGTGAAAATATGCTACTAACCATTGCCTTTGCTGCTGCAGGGCTTCATGAAGAGAATAGAAGAAAAGGGTGTCCCTGAGGATATGCGAGGAAAGGACAAAATCGTGTTTGGAAATATTCATCAGATTTATGACTGGCATAAGGAGTAAGTGTTAATGCTGCCCCGAGGATCCAGTGTCCTGGGAATCCAGGACTTGAGTCCTCTTCCTGCATCTGACTCAAGGAGTAGGGCTTAGGGGAGAGTCTTCTGTAATTCATCTTATTATTGAGAAATAATACAGTTCTGAATAATGTGGCTTCCTTCTCTTATCCCCTTTCTCCTTTTAGTTTTTTCCTGGCGGAACTGGAAAAGTGTATCCAGGAGCAAGACAGATTGGCACAGCTCTTTATTAAGCACGTGAGTGTCTCCCATCACCTCCTCCCCAACTCCTTCACTAGGCTCATTTATATTCATTTTAAAATCCTGGCCAGGCACAGTGGCTCACACCTGTAATTCCAACACTTTAGGAGGCCAAGGTGGGAGGGTGGCTTGACCCCAGGAATTGAGACCAGCCTGGGCAACATAGTGAGGCCCCCATCTCTACGAAGAATTTAAAAATTAACCAAGGCTGGTGGCACATGCCTATAGTCCTAGCCACTTGGGGGGGCGGAGGCAGGAGGATCGCTTGAGCCTGGGAGGTCAAGACTGCAGTGAGCCATGATGGCCCCACCCTGCACTCCAGCCTGGGTGACAGAGCAAGACCCTGTCTCAGAAAAAAAAGTAAATAAAATTTCTTCTCTTCTGCTCTTCCTTGAGTGACCTTCTTTCTCAGCCCTCTCTAAGTTTTTTTGTTTTTTTGACCACCTTGGCGATTTGGAAAGTGGCTCTTGCCCACCACATTTATATCCTTGATATTCAGCTGCCTTGGTGCGTCCCCAAGTGCGCCTTTGTCCTTTGTCCACGTGGAGGCCAGCACGGCACTCTGAGATTGAACAAAAGACACAAGATGCCTGACTGTCCACATGTCTCTCTCTGCTCTTTCAGGAGCGGAAGCTGCACATCTACGTGTGGTATTGTCAGAATAAGCCGCGCTCAGAGTACATCGTTGCTGAGTATGACGCCTACTTTGAGGTAAGCTGTGCAGGCTTTGCTGAACTGGGGTGGGAGGAAAACTCAGGCCAAAACAGCCACTTTCAGAAATACCAGACGTCATCCATCCATATGTGACCCCCACACAGCACCGTTGACCCATTCATGGCAGGAATAGCTGCCTCAACAGAGAAAGCAGCTTCTTAGCTAAATTCTCATGAGCACCTTCACTTGAGAGGAGCTGAGGTGGCCCAGTCTGGGTTCTGATTTGAGAATCCCCCATTTGCAGAATAAGCCTGAACACAGAGATGGTTTGAGAAGCTCCAGTTCTTCTTAAGTGACCCTGGAGCAGACTGTACCCACCAGTCCCCCAGGGACCACTTACTAAGGAGTCTTCTGTTGGTTGAAGGGTTTGCAGCCACTTCCTAGTCTGCTTGGTCTAGCCCAGAAGGATTTATTTTGCTGGGAGAAAGGCAGCATCATCACTTAGAAAAAGCACTCAGCTGAGTGTTTGGAGATCTAAGTTTAGGGCCTGGCTCCATAGGCTTGTGTGTCCTAGAAGAAGCCCCTTTTCCCTGCCTTTGCCCTGAAGTGGTGGAGAGAATAAGGCCCCTCCAGCTTTTCTCCCAGGACTGGGATGAAGACCAAGGTGTGGAAGTACTCACTGTAAAAGCATGGGAGGAAGGCAGGAAGCCAGTGGTGATGTGTGTTATGTGTTGTTCATAACAAGTGAACAGTCCTCTAGGCAATTTTACCTCTCACATTACTTAAAGATTCTTCAACTTCATTGGAAAACATGCAGACCTGTCTTCCATGCCTTTGAACCCTTATTCAAAGCACCCCAGTTCTTCAGTTCCTTTTTCTTCTAATATTGCTGCCTGTGTTTCAGGAGGTAAAACAGGAGATAAATCAGAGGCTGACACTGAGTGACTTCCTCATCAAGCCCATTCAGAGAATAACAAAATACCAGTTGCTCCTCAAGGTAAGAAGCTGGGAGCCTGGGTGAGGGCTGGAGAAGGATCCATCAGGCTCAGAGCAGGTTCTGAGCTAGGGGTAGAGCTAGCGGTTCTGTCTCCACCACACTGTCCCAAAGGACTGTGAACTGTGGGAGGGGTGGTAGGGACGTGGGAACTTTTATCTGACTGCTGGTTACTCTGTCAGCTTTGCTCCCAAATAAACTGCATGGCTGTTCTTCCTACCCTTAAGGTGGGTTGTTACTTGATTTTATTTTTTCAATTCACATTCTTACTTTGTCTCAATCATTGACTTGATACCTTTAAAAAATAAGAAGAATATGATATCAGAGTGAACTACAAGGGAGAAAGAAAGGGAAAGGCAAGGCTTTAGAAATATTAGATTAGTAATACCTAAAATTTGATTTTATATATATATAAAATCAATATATTATATAAAATCAATATATTTTATATATAATCAATATATATTATAAAGTATAATATGTATGTATATATTTGAGGCAGGGTCTCACTCTGTCACCCAGGCTGCAGTGCAGTGACACAGTCATAGCTCACTGCAGCCTCAAATGCCTGAGCTCAAGCGATTCTCCCTTCTCAGCCTCCCAAGTAGCTAGGACAACAGATGCATGTCATCATGCCTGGCTAATTTTTTATTTTTTTTGTAGAGACACGGTCTCACTATGTTGCTCAGGCTGGTCTCAAACTCCTGGCCTCAAGCAGCCCTCCCACCTTGGCCTCCCAAAGTGTTGAGATTACAGACATGAGCCACTGTGCCCGGCCTAATTATATTTTAAACAATGGCTTAACTTGATTCATCTTATGGAACTAGGAGGCTAAATAGAAAAGAGAGACTTAACTTTCCTTTCTCTCCTTTCTTGTCATAATCCCCCTTTCCTTTGTCTTCCCTCCCTCTCACTCTTCCTTCTCCCATAGCTTTGAAATTTTGAGGCTGGGTGCAGTCACTCACGCCTGTAATCCCAGAACTTTGGGAGACTGAGGCAGGTGGATCACCTGAGGTCAGGAGTTTGAGACCAACCTGGCCAACATGGTGAAACACATCTCTACCGAAAATACAAAAATTAGCTGAGTGTGGTGGCACTTGCCTGTAATCCCAACTACTCAGGAGGCTGAGGCAGGAGAATCGCTTGAACCTAGGAGGCACAGGTTACGGTGAGCCAAAATTGCACCACTGCACTCCAGCCTGGGCAACAGAGTGAGACTATGTCTCAAAAAAAAAAAAAAAAAGGAAAGAAAGAAAGAAAAGAAATTTGAATATTCTGGGAGTTCTCTCTATGTTATTACATCTTACATGACTCATAATTTCATTTCTCAGCTACTCTACACCATTGCCACTTCTGCTGGGAAGGAAAGTCTCCAGGGTGTTATTGTATTTTTATGATAAGTTTTTTCCCAGCTATTTTACTAATTTTACCCCTTCCCACACTCTTGCCTGCTTCCCCTACTTGTTAGGACTTCCTGAGATACAGTGAGAAGGCTGGTTTGGAGTGTTCAGATATTGAGGTGAGTTTTCTGCTTGTAATGCTTGCTGTTCTTAGGGACCATATTGGATATCTTTCTCTAGAGGGGAAAAGATTGTCTCAGGAGGACCGTGGATCCAGGTGGACCCCTCTCAGACAGTAAGAGGCTCTTGTAAACAGCTTTGTACCTGCTTGAGGAATGGCAAGTGTTAACACAGTGTTTCCTAGAACTAAAGAAATCTGTCCTGGGGTGCACTAGAGCTTAGCCCCACTGGTGTTCTTTTGGCTCCTGGTGACACATAGTGGGAAAGGGTAACCCCTTAATATCCTTCAGAGATTAGATGTAAGTTGCACAAAAGCCTCAGTATGCAATTTTATTCGTGAAGGCAAGTATTATTTGAGTCAAACATATAAAGTATTCCATTTTCACCTCCCTGTCCAAACCCTGCAGACTACTTCCAAGTGAAGTCCTTTGAGACAATGTCACTATGGGATTATTTTAAGCCAGGGAGGTTACAGACCATTCTGACAGATTATTTTAGTTGAAAACCTCTAGTGTTTCACAAGCCAGGCTAAGCTGTTGCCTGGGCAGCCAGGAAGCAACAGAGAGAAGAAAGAAAATCTGAGAAGGCAAGGGAATTGATGAACAAAAACAGGAAGGTAGGGAAAGGAGGGGCTGAGTAATATTCCCCCAACATATGCTCAGTGACTGACATGGAGCCCCTGTGCTGAGGACCAACACCCTCCCTCTAGAACAGAAAGCCCCACACTCTCTGAGAGTGGACAGCCAGAACCAGCATCCCTTCCTAGAATAAAGGAGCCACCAGAGATGAAGTCCCTGTTTTCCAGCACTGAATTACCAAGAGCTTCCTGCCTGAGTGCTGTTCCCCCTCCTGAGTAACAGTTGTTCTTTCCCACAGAAAGCAGTGGAGTTAATGTGCCTTGTTCCCAAACGCTGCAATGACATGATGAATCTAGGACGTCTGCAGGGCTTTGAGGTGAGTCTTTAAGAATGCGTCTAAGCCCACTCTCTCCAGGACAATAGGAGTCCAGACTGTTGCGGCTTCCTCCCCCTGAAGCCTTGTGTCCTGCCTGTGCCTCCTTCACTCACCACTATGCCTTCCTACCCGGGCCCCTCTGGTTCACAGTCCTGGAAGATGCATCTCTTTAGGAAGTCCAGCAGTAGGGAGGTCATAAGAAGTTACAGAGCATTTAGCCAAACCAAAGTCAGAATTCCAAGGAGATTGGAAAGACCCAGAATTCTTTTTTTTTTTTTTTTTTTTTTTTTTGAGACAGGTTCTTGCCCTGTCACCCAGGCTGGAGTGCAGAGTGGTGCAATCCTGGCTTACTGCAGCCTCAGCCTCCTGGGCTCAAGCAGCCCTCCCACCTCAGCCTCCTGAGAAGCTGGACTCCAGTCACACACCACCATACCTGGCTTATTTTTAAATATTTTTTATATTATAAAGATGGGGTTTTGCCATGTTGCCAGGCTAGGAAAGACCCAGAGTTCTTTATGAGTGTTTAGACCTGATAGTGACCTCTTCCTTTCCCTTCTTGATTGATAAAGCAGGGACTGTGAGTGACAGCAGGGCTATGTGATAGAAGTGGAATTAGGCAGGAGAATGGAACACCTGTTTTTTGAGAAGGTGGTTCTGGCTTTTCAGTTAAATGAATAGTTAAAACTCTAAAACATTACAGTACAAAGTTCTGTTATTTGAAGAGGGGAATCAAGTCTGCAGGGAAATGGCTGTGTCCCAAAGATTTTGGTTTAAGTGAACATACAAGTTTACTAGGGCTGCCAAAACAAAGTACCATAAATTGGGCAGCTTAAACAACAGAGATTTATTGTCTCACATTTCTAGAGGCTAGAGGTCTGAAATCAAGGTACTGTCAGGTACCTCCTGAGAGCTGTGAGGGAGGGGTCTGCCCCAGGCCTTTCTCTTTGGCTTGTAGATGGCTGTCTTTATGTTCACATGGCATTCTCCCTGTATCTTCACATTCCCTTCCCTCTGTGTTATCTCTGTGGCCAAGTTTCCTTTTTTTTTTAAACAGAGTTTTGCTCTTGTTGCCCAGGCTGGAGTGCAGTGGCAACAAAACCTCCTCCTCCTGGGTTCAAGCGATTCTCCTGCCTCAGTCTCCTGAGTAGCTGGGATTACAGGCATGTGCCACCACACCTGGCTAATTTTTTGTATTTTTAGTAGAGACGGGGTTTCTCCATGTTGGTCAGGCTAGTCTCGAACTCCCGACCTCAGGTGATCCGCCCGCCTCGGCCTCCCAAAGTGCTGGGATTATAGGCGTGAGCCACCACACTGGGCCGTTTCCTTTTTTTAAATAAGGACATCAGTCATATTCTATTAGGGCTTACTGGCATGACCACTTGACTTTAACTTGATTGCCTCTGTAAAGACCCCATTTCCCAATAAGGTCACATGCTGACATTCTGGGATTTTAGGGGCTAGGACTTCAACATAGGAATTGATGGGGGCATGGAAGGAGAGAAAACACAATTCAGCCCATAACAGTGAACCTTTGAAGAGGAAATTGACTTTCTAATTTAAACTTAATAACTGACTGTTATTAACGTATATCCAAACCTAATAAATTAACCACACACAATATGTTTTTAAGATTAATATGATAAAATTGGAACTGACACAATTATTGATTGGTACCTAGTAGTTGTTGATCCCCTTAGAGAAAGATGTGGATCTTTTATTTCCCAGCAGTCTGAAACCTAAGCTTTCATTATTCCTTTTTGGGGCAAAGGGATTCCTAGAATTTGGGATAATTCAGAAATAAATGGCTTGTTTTTTGTTTTTTGTTTTTTTTCTGGCTAAACTAGAATGAAATAGATACAAGACAGAGATATAGTTGACTCATACTCATACCACTGTATGAATAATTTACGGGATAGTATATTTAAGTTAGCTTTCATGCATTGGATTCATGACATTCTTGAGCCAAATTCTCTTCTCCTCCTTGCCCTTTCAGCCCATCCCATGTGTCCCTGTCTGGTTTTCATGCTTTGCTGTGACAGGAACTATGTGGATGGTTTTCTTTGCTGTGCATTTTTCATAGGCTCTTGGTCTTCCAAAGCAGGCTGGAGACATTAGTGTAAGCAGGGTTACTCGGCAGACACACACTGAGTTCTTAACCATTTTTCTTCCGTCATACTGGGTGGAGTTTTATACATTTTCCCTTGGCGTTACATCAGGTCTGAGGCTATACTGGACAAACCAAGAGATCCCTTTTGCTCTTCAACCTTGAAGACCCCATGTTTTCTGAACAGGAGTCTAACTGTGCTTCTCTGGGTCTCTGGAGGAAGTGACCACTCAGGAGGAGTGGTGTCTGATTGTGCTGTCTATCCCAAGTTAAACTTCACAGGAGCTGTGTTGTACATGTGAGTGTGTGTGTGTGTGTGTGTGTGTGTGTGTGTGTGTGCGCGCGCGCGCATATAAGGGCACCCACAAGCACAGAATCAAGCTTTTTTTTTTTTTTGAGATGGAGTCTTGCTCTGTCGCCCAGGCTGGAGTACAGTGGCATGATCTCAGCTCACTGCAACCTCCGCCTCCTGGGTTCAGGCGATTCTCCTGCCTCAGCCTCCCAAGTAGCTGGGATTACAGGCAGGCGCCACCACGCCTGGCTAATTTTTGTATTTTTAATATAGATGGGGTTTTACCATGCTGGCCAGGCTGGTCTCGATCTCCTGACCTGGTGATCCGCCGGCCTTGGCCTCCCAAAGTGCTAGGATTACAGGCGTGAGCCACTGCACCCAGCCCAGAATCAAGCTTTTAAGTTAAGCACTGCTGTCTCTTGTTTTTGTCAAGCCACCAGAACCTGCTTTTTGCATTCCTTCAGCTAACTGGGAAGAACAGTGAGCATGTGTCTATTCCCTCAGCCCATGGCTTTGGGCTTGAGAGAAGTTAGAGCCTCCTCTTTTAAATTCCTCCCCACTTTCAGATCCTCTGGCTTTCCCTTTGGTGCTGGCCGAGCTATAACCCATGATAGGTTCTTGTGTAATATTAATAGAGCTTTCCTGGCTAGCTGGTCACTGGCTTAATATTAACTTTAGACCACAGTAGAGATAAGCCTGTTTGGCTGCTGACATTGGCAGTAAGGAGCCATGATCCAGGCAGAGGGCAGGCACTTCTCAGGAACACAAAAGAAAAATGACCCCTCTGCTGGGTAGTGTTTGGAATAAGGCATCACATGAAGGGAATGGCCACATTTGTGCCAAAGGGTAGAGTTGCCGCCTGAGAAAGAGCACCTGCATTTCAGAGGAGGCCCTCTGATTGCTCTCTCTGATGTCAGGGTCTTCTTGTTGCAAAGCAATAGAAGTGCAAGGTGCTCTGACAGAGTCTGGGAAGACTTTCTGGGTTGGGCCATATTCCCTTTGAAGCTGTGAAGATGTCTCTGAAAATCTCATTAGAAACTGGCAAACCAAATAGGTTCTACCTCCTCAGCTAGGTGTCAGGTGGCCTAGTAGCTGGAATCATTTTTATTTTTTTATTTTATTAGTTTTTTAAAATTTATTCATGTATTTATTTATTTAGATACAGAATCTCACTCTGTTGCCCAGGTTGGAGTGCAGTGGTGCAGTTTTGGCTCACCACAACCTCTGCCTCCCAGGTTCAAGTGATCCTCGTGCCTCAGCCTCCTAAGTAGCTGGGACTACAGGCACACGCCACCACCCCTGGCTAATTTTTATATTTTTAGTAGAGATGAGGTTTCGCCATGTTGGGCAGGCTGGTCTTGAACTCCTGACCTCAGGTAATCCGCCTGGCTTGGCCTCCCAAAGTTCTGGGATTACAGGCATGAGCACCACACCCACCCTGGAGTCATTTTTAGAAGAATCACAGAACCCAGAAAAGTATCTACCAGCTTATAAAATATGGAGACCTATCTATAGTACCCCCAACTTTACCTGTTGGCCTATAACTAGAAACTAAGATTTCAGAATTTCTCCATCCTAAAATAATTGAAGAAGAGAGGGGAGTGACTTATCAGAGTATCTGTGGTCCTGCCTTCATCACTTCCCTTGTCTACAGGTGAGTTCAAGGTTGGTGGCCATGAGAATGCCCTTGGTCCTTGGCCCATACTGCAAAGGAACCAGGCAGGCACCGTTCTCAGAGCTCTGAGGATGGAAAGGCCACTTGCAGCTCCAAGTGTCACCTACTTTCTATTGTCCTTTCAATAAAAAACAAGAAGGGCCAGGATTATGGCTTTTCTGCTAATGATATTACCTTCCTGCCTTCTGGCATTTGCCTGGAGCTGTTTCTCAGTGGTTCCGCAGCTTGCTTTCCCTTTCCCTCCAGGGCCCTTGTGTGAACAGGAAAGTGGCCAAGGTCGGCCCCTGGATGAGTGGGTGGGTCCTAATTCAGTCTCTTCCTAGAGCCCTGAGGCTTTTGTTGTCAAATCTGTTGCCCGTATCCCCAGATGGGGAGGTTCTGTGGACCCAGAGGGCAGTGGCTCGCTCCCCATTTTTCATTCACTTCACCCCAGCCCGTCTTTCCTTCAGGGCACTCTGACTGCTCAGGGGAAGCTGCTGCAGCAGGACACATTCTATGTGATCGAGCTGGATGCAGGCATGCAGTCCCGGACCAAAGAGAGGCGCGTGTTCCTCTTCGAGCAGATTGTCATCTTCAGTGAACTGCTCAGGAAGGGATCCCTCACCCCTGGCTACATGTTCAAAAGGAGCATCAAGGTGAGGATCCCAATGGTGATGAGAAGAGGCAAGGAAGAGCCCAGTTCTTGGGAGCTGCTTCCCTAAGACGAGGCCCTGGAGTTGTGACATCCAGAACCGTGAAGATCTTTCAGCCGAATAACATTCGGTCATGGAGGCTGCACGACAGTGATTATCTGTGAGCTGAAGTGACAGGCTGAGCCAGTCTCTGGCATGATCCTGCAGGTTCCCTGGGATCGTGTCACTCACCCAGAGACAAAAACCTAAGTACTGTCCTGCTAGATCCAGGGCAAAATTTGGAAGCTTGTCCTGAAATAGAAACTTTGAGGAAGAGTAATATGTTGCTGATTTTTAAAAAATCTTTTAAATGTAAAAAGGATCAACTCGTTTTCTTCCAGATGAATTACTTGGTCCTGGAGGAGAATGTGGACAATGATCCCTGCAAGTTTGCACTCATGAACAGAGAGACTTCTGAGAGGGTTGTTCTGCAAGCCGCCAACGCTGACATCCAGCAGGCCTGGGTGCAGGACATCAATCAAGTCTTAGAAACACAGCGAGACTTTTTGAATGGTGGGTGCTGGGCTTGGTTCCTTGCAGGGCTGTGTCAGGGGACTCCACGACCTCTGAGCTTCCTTGGGTCTAGGTTCATGTTGAGTTATGAACCCAGATCACATTTTATAGGTACTCCAACTTTGTAGTTTTCAGAAACACTTTAGAATTTTTCTGAAGCTGAATACACAAGCACAACAGATAGGGTATGAAAAAGAAGCTCCATCTTTCTGATAGAAGAGATTTCACTTATAGGACACAGGATATATGTCTTGTGGCCATCACTACCACCTGGTACTAATTTGGGCAAAAGTCTGAGATAGGCACATCCTCTGTGTCTAAGGAACCAGGACCGGCTAGAAATGATATGTGTTTTTCCACTTTTCACAGCTTCTGTAGTGTTAACTAGAGATAAATGAGAGTTTGACCAATCAGTTCAAATCCCTCCTCTGCTCCCAACAGTGTGAGAGCCTACATAAGCCACATTACTAGCCAACCTTACCCCTTTTAAATGAGAGATGATTGCTAACTTTAAATTTCTGTAATACCCTGAAACTTCCTAGAAGAAAATTTGTGGTTACACAGAGGGTGTAGCTCTTTGTGGCCCTTGCAGGAGCTCCCTCATGGGTGGTGTGAACTGGAGTGAAGTAGAGTTGCCACTTTGTATATATTTCTTTATTTTTTCCCCTGCTGGGGTTTTCTTCACACTGAGCTTGGCATGGGAAAGGGGTATGCGATTTTAAGCTAGTGGCTGATCTCTGCTGACTTGGTTAGCTCAGAAGTCTAACCAAGCAGAAATAGAGCTTGAAGTTGAATGCAAAATGTAACTAGTAATGAAGTAAACCTGAAGACTCAGAAAACACATATGCCTGTATATCGAGACACACACACACACACACACACACACACACACACACACACACACACACACAACCACCTTTGGGTATACCACCTCTTCCTGCCTGTCCTGAGATCCGTCCTACATGGCCATACGTGCTCACAGGAGCGCACACACAGGTACATGCATGTACACACGTACAGGCCCACCCTCGGGTGTGTCACCTTTTCATGCCAGTACTAGGATCTGGACTCTTTCAAATGATCCAAATACAGCATTTTCTGGATGTCTAGAATGGAACTGAATGCTGAAGGGAAAGATAAAAGGTGCCATACGAGTTGAGGACCTTGAGGAGTCATGACATTTCTCTGGGCCTTGTGGCTGGTTTTGTGAAAAAGGGAGTTCAGGTAGATCTACTTTGCCCATGCTGGCATGCTCTGTGATGGGCCAGTCTTCCTGGAAGCAGGACACCTGGCATCCTCCCTACAATATCAGTTTCCCTGTATTATAAGGGATTTAGCACAGTGTTTTAAAGACAAATAGAAGGAGATCATGTAACAGGATGCCACGACTTTTTAAGATAGAACATGAGACTTCAAAGCAATTTTGCACTTACAGAAAGTATTTTTGGGCCAGGCTCCTGGCCCTCAACTGTAAAAAAAATTTGGTGAAAAACAACTAGACTAAGTGATCTCTAGGATTCTTTTCACTCTAAAATGTCTAAAATTAAACACCAGCCCAGCCCTGAGGGATGGTAATGAAAGTTTTATATGGCTTATGATTTCTGAATATAATATACAACTTCAAATGAACACTTTTGTTGATAAAATAATTTTATGCAAAAATGTGTTCATATATAAAAATATCTGTTTAAATTGCATTCTATTAGGAGTTTCTGATAGATTCTAAGCTGAAATTAGGAATTTTAAAATTCATCAATTTGGGACAAAAGAAAAATAAGGTGCAACAGTAAGTTGAAACAAGAAGTTATTGACATAACAATAATGGCTCCTGTGTATTGAATCCTTGCTCTGTGCCAGGCACTATGCTAAGCATTTTACATGGTTTTTCACATTTAATCCTCACGCCAACATGGAGAGGTAAGTACTATTGTCCTACTTTTTTCAAGTGAGGAAAAGGAGACTCAGAACTTGTCCAAGGTCACAGAAGCAGTAAGTGATAGAAACAGGACTTGAATCCACAGCTATAGGACTTCAAATTAAGGTTGTGAACCACAAAACTGCAGTATAGGTGCTAGTGTTAGGGCACTCATTTATTTAATTATGATCTCCCTAGCAACCAAAGTGAAGAAAGAAACAGGATCAGACATAAGACACTGTATCGATCAGTCAAAAACAAACCCTGTAGGGACGCACAGTTTTCTTGATTCTGAGAATTAAGTTATGCAAATGGAGGCTGGTGAAAGAATACAGGCTGTCCATTTAGCTTATTTAAGAAGGCATTCTATTTTCAAATGTTTTAGCACAATTATTGTAAATAACCAGGTAATATCACAATTCCATGTGATGGGAATTGATTCATAAAATCAGTTTGATAAGGCCTACTTTATAACTCTGCTATGTACTTAGAACTTGGAACTGTATTTATTTAGGCATAGTCAATGATTCAGACCTTTACTTCGTTCCAAGAGACCTTTCTCCTAATGAATCATGGAGATACAGTCAGCCCTTGGTATCCACAGGGAATTGGTTCCAAGACCTCCCGAGGATACCAGAGTCTGTGGATGCTCAAGTCCCTTACATAAAATGGCATAGTGTTTGCATATGACCTGTGTACATCATCCTGTACTTTAAATCATCTCTAGATTGTTTATAATACCCGATATAATGTACATGCTATGTAAATGATTGTTATACTATATTGTTTATGGAATGACAAGAAAAAAAACTCTGTACATGTTCAGTACAGACCACAACCATCCTTTTTTCCCCCATATATTTTCTTTTTTTTTTTTTTTTCTTTTTTTGAGACAGAGTCTCGCTCTGTCGCCCAGGCTGGAGTGCAGTGGCGCAATCTCAGTTCACTGCAAATCTCCACCTCCTGAGTTCAAGCGATTCTCATGCTTCAGCCTCCTGAGAAGCTGGGATTACAGGTGTATGCCACCAATACAAAAATACAGAAATGCTAATTTTTGTATTTTTAGTAGAGACAAGGTTTTGCCATGTTGGCCATGGCTGGTCCTGAACTCCTGGCCTCAAGTGATCCACCCGCCTTGGCCTCCCAAAGTGCTGGGATTACAGGCATGCACCACTGCACCTGGCCCTTCCCATATATTTTCAATCCACAGTTGGTTGAATCCATGGTTGTGGAGCTCACAGATACAGTGGGCTGACTGTATTACTGAACTAGGTTATCATCTCCTAAATACTTAATGCCACAAAACACTCCTCAGTGAGAGAGGCAGTGCTCTGGTGGGCCTGTTATTACTTTGACACATACAAGAGACAAGGATGTGATGACGGACCAGGGCCAGGCTTCTACTTACAGAGATGTGTGCAGGCATCTCAGAGCCAATCTTTCCTTCTGAGACCTCAAGTAGAAAGGAAGTGTGACCCTATGTTGAGTCCTGTTGAGGTATGTACCTATCACAGTAGAAATATCCTTGTAATTGAGAAGTTCTCTGGGCCCCAGCTGTTAACCCACTTAAATAGCTGTTACAGTGCAAACTGATAAAAATGACATAATCGGCCAACCTTTGAAGTCATTCTTAAAGAATTGGACCTGTATGACATTTGCCTGGCTCTCCCTCTTTAGTTCTCAGACCTTGCAACCTTGTTACCTTAAACTCAATAAAACAAAGCTCCAGTCTTCTCCTTCACATCAGCTTATTCTCCTGTCTTCTGAGTTCCACTGACTGCCATCCTCCGAGTCTCCAAACCTGAGCCATCCTCGATTCTTGCATTGCTTTTCCCACCTAGGCTGTCACAGTCTCATCTCTCCCGACCTCACCACGCCCACATCCATTCCACATCCCACTGGTCCCGCTCTCCTAGACCTTCTACCTCTCGCTTTTACCATTCTGTGGCTTCTGAATTAGACAAGAAGCCTTCTGTCTCATCCTCTCCAGTCCCTCCTCCTAACCACTACAAGGTCAGTGTTCCTCAAATGTCGCTCTCTGATGATAGAATCTCAATTTAAAGCTTTAAAGTTCATTCCATCCAATTACTTTTCATGACCTTCAGAATTCAGTCCAGACTCATTGGACTCACTTTCTAGACTTTTCATACCATGGCACTTCCCACCTCACAGACCCTTCTGGTTTCCTCTTCCTCCTAGACACCCTTGACTACTTCCTGTTCCCCTCGCCAACACGTCACACTTGCTTCCTTCCTGCAGCCTAAGTGCCAGAGTCTGGCCACAGCTCTCTTCCGAAGCTCTTTGTTATTACCACCACACACATATTACAGAGCCTTCTCTCTCTTTGCACAACCCTTGGCACCTCACATATGGCACCGTTTTGTTTTTTGTATTTTCATTATTTAGGTAGATGTCTTAGTTCTCCCATTGCCTTAAAAACAAGGGTAGTGTTTTTCTCACTTATCCACACGATGCCTAACACAAAGCCTTGGACCTAAGAGGCCTCCAAATCCTTGTGGGATTCCCAAAGCTTAGAGTAACCACCTGCTCTTATCCCACAGCACTGCAATCGCCCATTGAGTATCAACGGAAAGAAAGGAGCACAGCTGTGATGAGGTCTCAACCTGCCAGGCTTCCCCAAGCCAGCCCCAGGCCCTACTCCTCTGTTCCTGCGGGCTCAGAGAAGCCCCCAAAGGGCTCCAGCTATAACCCACCTCTGCCTCCCCTGAAGATATCTACCTCCAATGGCAGTCCAGGGTTTGAATACCACCAGCCTGGGGACAAGTTCGAAGCCAGCAAGGTAAGTGACAACTCATTACTCCCACCCTTGTCACTACGATGGCATAGCCTCAGGGGTTACTTTAGGAAGAGAAGGAGTCTCGGTCTGTCATCCAGGCTGGAGTGCAATGGCACCATCTCAGCTCACTGCAACCTCCGCCTCCCAGGTTCAAGCGAATTCTCCTGTCTCAGCCTCCCGAGTAGCTGGGACTACAGGCGCCCTACCATACCCAGCTAATTTTTGTATTTTTAGTACAGATGGGGTTTCACCATGTTGGCCAGGCTGGTCTCAAATTCCTGGCCTCAGGCGATATGGCCACTTCAGCCTCCCACAGTGCTGGGATTACAGGTGTGAGCCACTGCACCCGGCCAGGAAGTAGCATCTTTTAATGCTTGCTGATTATTTTAGCAGGAACAGCACACTAAGTACAGTCTAGTCTCAATTATGTTTTCCTTTCCCTATAAACTGAGTGAGTTATACCAGTTCCCTGTGGCATAAATCATCATAAAAATGGATGATTTTTGCTAAATAGAGTAGTTTCAGTGTGGATCATCGTCATCTAAAAGTCACAGCTGTAGTGTTTGACACCTTAAAAAGAGTTCACCCTTTCTAATGATGATCTGCCTCGAGCACCTACTGAAAGAAGTTCCCAGTTCTTCACCATCTATTGGCTGATGTGGAAGGGAAGTCGATCATCAGTGTGTGAATGGGAGAAGTCTGACTTGGATTGAATGTTTGTCGTCGATAATCCACAATTCAAACATCACCATAAGGAGAGTCAAAGACTCAACCATAGACTTAGTCTACACAGCTATTTTGCCCCTACAAGGTAGGTAGAACAGGAGAGAAATGGGAAAAGTGCTAGATTAGGAATCAGGCAAACCTGGTTTCTATTCCCAGTTCTGCAACTCACTTGCTTTAGAACCTTAGCCGAGTTAGTTAACCTCATTAGGCCTCAGTTTTCTCTAGAACTCAGTGGCTCTATGAATAGGAACACTTACATTTTTTATCTACATGTTCCAGTTTTATAGTTTTATTTCTCCTCAAAATTATTAGTTTATATTGGTTATATTAAAAAATTATTAGTGTCCAAGTTCAATCCTGTATTAGAGTAACCACACTGATTTGTTCCGTCACATCACCTGGAAATGATTTTCCACCTTAAAAAACAATCCTGCCTTTGTGAATAAACTGAAGTCACTTTGGCATTTTGTCAAACATATCGGGCCAGATGCGCTGGCTCACGCCTGTAATCCCAGCACTTTGGGAGGCCAAGGCAGGGTGATGGCTTGGGCTTAAGAGCTCAAGACCAGCCTGGGCAACATAGCAAGAACTCATCTCTAATAAAACTTTAAAAAAAAAAAAAAATTAGCCAGGCACGGTAGCATGCACCTGTTGTCCCAGATACTGAGGCAGGAGAATCACTTGAGCCTGGGAAGTCGAGGCTACAGTGAGCTATGACTCTGCCACTGCACTCTAGCCTAGGTGACATAGCAAGACCGTGTCTCAAAAACAAACAAAAAGTATATACTGAAGAATTTGTATGTATATCCTGTATGTATATACATATAGAATATATATGTATATCCTGTATGTATATACATATAGAATATATATGTATATCCTGTATGTATATACATATAGAATATATATGTATATCCTGTATGTATATGCATATAGAATATATATGTATATCCTGTATGTATATGCATATAGAATATATATGTATATCCTGTATGTATATGCATATAGAATATATATGTATATACTGAAGAATTTCTGGCTCTTACCATGCTCTATGAGGCAGCCAGTCCTCCTAGGAAAGTTACAAGTCTGTCTAGAGGCAGCTGCCCTGAAATAGACTCACATGAAAAGGTCATGGGCAGCATCTCTTATATTAATGAGTAGGGGAGGGTACCTGGTGCCTGCAGGAAGTTGGGTAAGGGTAGGTCATGGTCTTGCCTTTGAATTGGGCAGAGATATCATTCTTAGTCCTGTCTCAAAGAGGGTCAGAATATAAAGTAAAGCCAGCGCACTTTCAAAAAGAGAAAAATTTAATATCAAACAATCCGTGTTCTTTCCATTGAAGGATTGTGACCCCTGACATGACACTTGCCCTGACCTCATTCTGCCCAGGTGCTTACATACCCCTATGCCAGTGCCAGGTTCTTCCTTTCACTTGTAAGAGAACGCTGGCAGGAAGGTTGTATGCTGGGAAGGGGCTTCCAGGTCAAAGGCGTGTTTATACCTTTATGTGGGGTGGAGCCATTCACCCTGGATGATAATATTGTTGAAACATTGCTATTAAAAAATATACTTTCAGAGCATGTTTATTAATATCATGTCATTACTCAAGAGAGAATGCTGCCTGCTGCCTACCCTGCTAGTGGGAGATTTGGCCTTGAACCACTGGGTAGGGTGCAGAGCAAGCCCATGTGAACTAGCGTCCTTGTGTTTGTGCCCCTCTCACCCTTATCTCCCAGCAGAACGACCTGGGAGGCTGCAATGGGACCTCGTCCATGGCCGTGATCAAAGATTACTATGCACTGAAGGAGAATGAAATCTGTGTGAGCCAAGGTGAGGTGGTCCAGGTCCTCGCCGTCAACCAGCAGAACATGTGTCTGGTGTACCAGCCTGCCAGCGACCATTCCCCCGCCGCCGAGGGCTGGGTCCCAGGCAGCATCCTGGCGCCCCTCACCAAAGCCACAGCAGCAGAAAGTAGTGACGGGAGCATCAAGTAAGTGCCTCGTTGGCTTCCCCGGGAGAGGAGTATGAGGATTAAAAATATTCAGAAACAAACAAAAGAACACAAAAATGCAAACACATGGTAGGGAATTACTACTGCTTATTCTCAACAGTACCACAGAACCAGTGTTTGAGTGCTGACACCATATGCAACATGGGGCATCCGGGCTGGAGTGATCCAGTTTTTTAGTTGGTGGTGGCGATGATTTTTCTTTCCTTTTGGTTTATAATTTTCTGTTCATTTTTCCCCCTTTCTCCCCCACATTCATTAAGAACCCTACTGAAACCCTAGGTGACAAAAGGTGTGCCTTCTGTTGCCACATTTGACCCACCACAGGACTCACTGGACTGGACTTCTATTTATATTGTATTAAGTAACTGATATATATATATATATATATTTTTGATTGACACCAAAAAATTACCTTGGCACAAATGCCAGACCTGTGAAGGTCAGAGGCCCGCTGCTTTTCCCAGGAGGGAGGGAACTTTTTGGTTGTCTGTGGCAATTCCTCTGTACAGATTGTAACTTTTTAAAAATTTCCCTTCACCCCGTCACTTGAATATATGTTCATAGTAATTTGTAAGATACTTCTTTTCCTTATTTTGGTTGCAAGACCCTTCCGAACACATTCCTGTATAAAGTATTTTGCACTATTTAAAGAAACCCATATGGATGAAGTCAGGATGTGCAATATGATGGCGTCACAGTGCTCATCGTTGTACCTGTAATGTAACTAATCAGTTTAAATGTACTATTTTAAATATGTAAAATAAATTTTCACCATGAGCATGTTTTAATGAAGTTAAAGACTAGTTGACCCTTTTTCCCCTGTTTCACTATTCTTGGACTTTCAAATGTGCAAACAATTCTTCTTCTTTTCCTCCTCTTCTTCTTTTTTTTTTTTTTTTTTTCCCTTTTCTGTATTTTAGGATTTGGGTGAATGCATTGGCATTTTTTTTTCCTACATAAAAAGTATTTTTGTTGCTGAAGTTCTGACCCGGGCCTTCCCTCCTAAATAGCCCCTGTTGATTTTCTCTAACCTCTGAGATGAGGGAAGGTACAGATTTGATGCTGTCCAACTGGTTCCCTGCAACTGGGCAGCCCTGAGGTGCTGATGTCAATTAATGACCAGAGTAGAAGGCAGTGTTTGACTGGCATTCTCCGCTGCTTTCCCCTGCTGCATAGTAATCCATGGAAGACGTGGTGCAGGGGGCTTCCATGAGCTATCTGAGCAGTGGCACCAGCATAACTGCACTGCTTTGGCCCTCTAGGTCAGGGGATAGCAGCTACTGACATCACCCTGGCCTCACTAGGTAACCACAGGCCCAGCCAAAAATCCACAGTGGCCCCTAAGGCACAATAGCCCCCATGCATTTTATCCTAAGTATACTTGTTTTGGGTGCCTTTTAGGTAAGCCTTGGGATAAAGGCCCTCAAAGCATTGAAGTTTTTACTAATCAGGGGACTTGCAGAGCTAACTCTTAATGATTTATCCTCTAAATATCCAGGCACTAAACACTTCTTCCTCCCTACCTTTGGTTCTGTTGGCCACTTATCCATACCTTCCATGGGAGGGAAGGTAAAAGGATGTCAGACCGAGCAAAAGAGAGCAGATTGAAATACAAATGGGTCATTTTGATTTCTTGTCAGCCGCTCTTGCAAAAGGGTTGGGGGTGTGTGTGGAGGGGAGCAGTGGACTGAAAAAGGTTGTCAGCATTTACCAGTGGAGGACACTCAGCACACCCTCCCCAAGGCCTGCCATAACCACAGGGGTCAGAGTTGGTTGTGATGCCTACAGGATAAACGTCACTGAAACCCTGTGTCCACATCAGTCCCTGGGCTTGCAACCAAGAGATGGAAGCTCCCCAAACCATGATGACGAGTTCTTCTGGGAAGAATATGAAACCAAGCCTGCCCTGCCATTTATACTACTCTCAGTCTTCCTTCTGAACATGAAATGTTATTGCTCATATTTCTAGTTTTTCACCAAGCATATTAAATAACCCAGAGAATTTAATAAATGTAGAAACACACCCCCACAAGGACACACACATACACAACGTGCTGCCTGCCCTGGGAGTCCTTTCAGCAGGGATCTCCCTGACTCAAGTTGTTCTCAGAAGGAGCCAGGGACATGGGTTTGGGAGTAAAGTTATCAAAGTCTGAAGTTAACAGGCTGATGCCATCTAAGATTAGCTTCTATGGCTGGTTCTCACTTATACAACGGTTGGAGCAAGGTGCTGGTATGCAGGGGACAGTAGAGAGCCTGACTAGTTAGGAGATACAAGAGTTTTTGAAGGAGCCCACTTTCCCACAAGATTCAAGAATATTACTGTGATTGCTCTTTCCTGCTCAGAAGGTTGAACCTGTGTGTTAGCGGATAAATATTTTTGGAACACCTTCCTCAAAGTACCCTTAAAATCCTGATGTATGTGGAGTGTTCTGGAGGGATGCTCTGTATTTTGCAGCAGCTTCCTTTTCCTAAATCTCCTCTGCCTCTCTCCCATAATGGACGCTCATCTCATGGAGCCCTGTCTGCATAGGCCCACCTTTGACAAGGAGATACTGAGGGGAAGCCACGTCTTACTTATTCCAGACAACAATTAGAACTTCATTCAAGCTCTGTGACCTCACCTGAAACTGATGATGCCTGCTCAGGGTCACTGATGCTGTTTGTGACTTGGCTTTTGGTATCTCTGTCTTTGAGATCTGATATTTATGGAATGTAAGGGCTCTGCTCTGAGCTTGTCTTCATAGGTCTGTGAAGAAGTTGCTCCCAAGACCCTTTGTGGGAAGAAAGAAGTTAGGATGAAAGGCCTATTGAAAAGCCATTGCTGCTCTCACCTCCCTGGGAGCACACATTAGTTCTTGTCCCAATAGGGAAGCTCTAGGACCTCTACAGGCTGACAAAGCCATATATTCACAAACACTGAGTGATATGGAGAATATAGACCGAGAAACTCTTTGCCCTAAAATATCCAGGTAAATGAGTGGTGCTCAACTGTTTATTAAGCAAATGTCTGCCACAGAAAATCCTGTCTGATCAACATTGTTTGGGAGTGGCCCTGCCCAAATACAAATCATGAGGTAGAACTCTCAATGTCATCCTTTTAGGTCTTTCTGTCTGGTCCTGGGAAAGTGTCAGTAGCATATGCATTCTAGAATATACTTCCCTTGACTTTCCTATTCTACTCTTCGCCCCCTTTCCTCACCCATCCACCGTGCCCTTCTCAAGAGGAATTCCTCAGTCCTGTGAGGCATCATGGGTATGGTATACAAACTCCCTTATTAGAGTTTAGTAACCTAGCATTCATATTTTCTTTAAATGCCGTAGTCAACCTTGCACATCTACCAGGGGAGGTCAGAGTTCATCCTTGCTCACTTCCAGTTGGAGGCGAGGTCAGCCGCCAGCCACCCTTGGAGCTGGTGTGCAGGTTTGGGGCCTCTGAAGCCCGGGCTTGATGGAGCACCTCACCTGCTGACTCACCCAAGGGTGGTGAGCCCGCCCTCCACATCGCTGTCCCTGACCTGCCATTTTGATTGGTGCATTTTTTGGTACAACAGGAAGTCATGTTCATGGCATACTCTACGCATGAGAAAGCGGGCGGAAGTGGAGAACACGGGTAAAAATGAAGCCACAGGGCCTCGTAAACCCAAGGATATTCTGGGCAACAAAGTCTCTGTTAAAGTGAGTAAGGTATTCCGGAGCTGCGTCCCCACCTGTCATCCACTCCCACCCTGCAGCATTCTCACAAGCCAATTTGGGTGGATGGGTTATTTTTTTTTTTTCCCAGTATGGGTACCAGAGGGGAAGTAGTTTAGCAGGATTTTGCATGCAAGATCAATTTATTTTTTATCTTTTATTTCTCCTGGCAACTTCAATTCAAGTAAGTACCTTTTTTTTCTTTTATACCTTTCTCTTTATACTGTGCAGATGTTTTACAGCAAAATTATCTGCAGCATTCTCTTAAAAATGTGAGATGCTTGATTCATATTAAATTTATCAAAGCTGCCATTTGGTACCCTAGGTTTGAGAATACACACAGGGTAAAGCAATTAGGGATGCCTTCCAAACCCCCAACCCTGTGAAGGCTGAGGTTTGGAATTTAAGGGCCACTGTGTCCTTAGTAAAGTTTCATTTCTTTTCCCCAGAGTTCAGACAACATCAACTTCAGGCCATTTTACTTGCATGGACACAGTAGGGGGGCACATTGGTGAAGCCCAAATTATTTCTTTAAATAATCCATCTACTACTTTGAACTCATGAATTCTAAGCTTGGCAGACTCTTATTTACCCCCATCTTGAAACAATGTCATCTGCTTTCTTTAAATTGGAACCTCTGGAAAGATCTGCCAATGGACCAATGGACAATGGAAACTAGACACTGATTATTATAGCACTAATTATGCTATAATGTGTGATCATCTACCTGGAACTTTGTTTCCCTTCCTTAGCAAAGTAAGAACAACTAAAACCCAGTCTAAGAGATTTCTTGGGGAAAAGAAATTGTATACTCTCCTTCACTCTCATCTGGGAAGTCCAGCCTCACAGAAGACAACAGTTTAAATTCGACAACACTCATGCTTCATTTTGCTTCCATTGCTGTTTCCCATGAGATAAGCAGTTGTACACAACCCCCGCCTCCTCTCCCTGAAAAGAGCATGCTGCTGCCCCTGGTGATTCTCACCCCCACTTTAAAAACACCTGGTTTTTTCTCTGCCCAAGATCCCATCGCCCATGCTTCTCTGAAGTTCTCCTCTCTCTCTAGCAAAAGCTACTTGTGTTCTAACTGTGTTCTCTTTCTTCCCCCTTCCTCATGCTGCCAATCAAGGAGACGAACAGTTCCGAGGAATCAGAGTGTGATGATCTTGACCCTAATACTAGCATGGAGGTAGAAGCAGCTATTGTTGTCCTATTTCCTACAATGATTGCCTTTTTTGATGTGTTCTGTAACAGTGACCTTGCTAAAATGACCAGCCATTCAAAGATAAATTGTGATGTTGGGGCATCTCTGGGTATCCCATCCCAGCTATAAAAGAAACAAACAAAAACATAATTCAGTTCAGTGTTGGTAGAAAACTCTACCTAGATTTTTTTAAAAAACAAAAACTTGTTATCTTGAATGCTTGCTAAATATTTTCTCCTTTGGCAGGTTTGACTTTATGTAGAAAATATCCAATTTCATTATTTGAAACTTAGAACACATTTTTTCATGGAAAACAGCACTGTAAAGAGTGGATGAGTCCCAGCTAAATGACAAGGACTCATTTCGTGTTTAGTTTCTCCCGCTTTTGTTTTCCCCTCCTCCGCTTCTTTTTCTTTAGCCCTTTATCCTCTTCATCTTGCTCTTCTACTGGGTTTTATTCCCTGCTCAGTGTTCCAGAAAAATAACGGGTGAAGTATGGCACCTGGTTGCTATGTAGAGCTGATAGCAAATAAGGTGTAATTGTAGCAACTCCAGAGCACACTTCAGCCCAGTGCTGGGCCCGTGAGCAGTGGCTGTGCCCACCGTGTGAAGGAAAAGGAGCCCTGGGGAGGGCCTGTCTCCTGGAGCCACGGCAGAGGCCTCTCCAGAGATGGTGAGATGGAAACACTGCCCAGGGGACATTTCTCGCACCCCAGGCTTACAGGGATGTGGGAGTGGAACCAACGCCTGTATCAACAAGAACATCCATTCCACTTCCAACTCCCAGTCTGTTGGGTTATAGAAACGTGGCTCTTACGTGGCTTGCCACTGAGTAACAACCATGATAAATTTACAAACCCTAGACAATGAGGGCAAACATGGAGCTGACTTTCCTTGCCATTTTTTCATTCAGAGAATGTTTTTCTCCAGATCTGTGCATCCATCTCCAGTAATGGGTACAAGTTTAGAGATTTCTTCTAAGTACAAAATAGACAACATTAAAAAGAAATTTATATCATCCCAAACATTTCACTTAATTAGATAGACTTTTATTCTTATTCTAATTTGACCTAATCCCAGAGAAGTCCAGCACCATGTTGTTTCAGCCACCACAAAACCCAAGAGAGATCATGAGGCCTAAGAGCCGGTAAGTCAGCTGCAGAAGGAGCCAACTGAGTTGAATCAGGCCCGAGGCAATCGGCTGACAATGGGAGTTCTGCCAGGATAGAGTAGTCCCCTGTAGATGTGGGTATTACCACAGAGCTAAATCTGGTAGGTGTGGCTCAATACGTACCCCACTGTGGGAGAAAGTGGAGGTGGCATTTGTAGCCTAAATGTATCTTAGAGAACAAGGAAGCCAGGGGAAATTTCAGGCTCTGTTTTCCTTGCATTTCACAGGATAGGCACCAGCTCTCCTGGAGTTCACACCTGTCAGCTTGTAGATACTGGGTGGCACCTGTATCCCCAGACCTAAGTATTGCCAGCATGTATTATAGATGTCAGCTGCAAGTGGAGGAAGGCCAGACAGAGGCAGGGGAAAAGCCAGGTACCTGTGTTCCAGGAAACAATTTAGGACCTTGTCCAGTTCTTGTGGACTAGGGGAGAAGAGTGATGTTCCCACTCTGTAGGAAGAAATGGGCACAGAGGGATGTGGGGCCAGGGGAGCAGCACACATTAAGAAAATTAACTGGGGTCATCGAATGCCCCATTCTACACTTAGATAAAAAACATGTGTGTGCATATACACATCTTAACTCTGCTTTGCTAATTGAACACATTTTAAAGGTTCTTATTCATCTAAGGCTTTTAGTCCTTTGCATGGGCTGAGTGAGATGGGTCCTCAGGAGGTGCTGTGGAGTGCATGAGCAAAGACATTAGAATATTCGTGCTGAACAGAGGAAAACCAAAAATTGTGTTGATGCATGTCCGAAAAGTTTTCAAATACAGTAGTTGAGACACAAAGTTTCCTTTAGGCACAAACTTTCAAGTAGCTGGAACCTCAAGGAGGCATGTTGTTGGAAGCAGCAATATCCCCAGTATGTGTGGATGTAGCCCTTATATATTACATATACATCCTTTTAAATTTCAGTGATTGTCTTTTTTTTTTTTTTTTTTTTTTGACGTGGAGTCTCTGTCACACAGGCTGGAGTGCAGTGGTATGACCTCGGCTTACTGCAACCTCTGCTTCCCTGGCTCAAGGGATCCTCCCGCCTCAGCCTCCTGAGTAGCTGGGACCACAGGTGCACACCACCATGCCTGGCTAATTTTTGTATTTTTGGTAGAGACAGGGCTTCACCACATGGCCGAGGCTTGTATTGAACTCCTGACCTCAAGTGATCTGCCTGCCTTGGCCTCCCAAAGTGCTGGGATTACAGGTGTGAGCCAATGCACCTGGCCTAAACTTCAGTCATTCTCTGAATGTGTTGCCAGCTTCAAATTAACTTTGAGCACATGAGCAAGTCCAGAGGGAAAGCAGGCAACTTGGCACTGCTAGTTTGGTATTTTCAGATGCAAATAAATAAGATATAGAAAGTTAAACTGATCAACATGAGTTGAGAATTTTCTCAAGGCATGTGTAAGTAGAACCTTATTGCAATGTACACTGCAGAAGAAGAAAATGATGAGGAGTGCATACTGAAGAGAGAGGCTATACCTTAAAGATCCAAATTGAAATATAGGTGAGCAGGCCACCTCTTGAAGGCCTCTCACTATTCAAGTGGTCATTTGGGGCATCATTCCCAGACCCAGCCTGGCCCCCAACCTCACCCTTGTCTTCTGAACTTGATGCTGCAATGGGCGTTGTCTCTCTGGGAATGTGTCTGTTACTCTTAGTGAGCTGAATCCTGTGCTGAGGGTGTCTCTGTTCCTGGAACCCCAGCTGACATAATGGGACCATGCACCCTGTGTGTTCACTCCGTGCTAGATCTCCAGATGTTAAATCCTGCCCTGACTGACTCCCTTTAACCTGAGGCCAGCCTGTTGATCCCAGCCCTAGCTGTGCATAGGCTCTCATCTCCTGCCTGCATGGGAATGATGTCACCAAAACATTCTTTACTTTTTCTCAATAAGTGGACCAAATGGTTCCTTTAAGGGCAGTTTCCTGGGGTCTTTACTTACACACTGGCTGCTTGCTACCTTCAGGCTGGCATTTGTCCCACCATGGTGTTTTGGGGAGATATACAGGCGCATCCTTGAAGGTTAATTAAGAAGAAAATAAAGCACCTTGAATCCTAGGAGTCAGATTTACAAAGCTTTCCAAGAATACCCAATTAGGTAAAGGGAGGTAATTCTGCTCTAATGTTTACATCCTTTTCCTTCCCCTGCTTGTGAATGTTTTCAAGTACAACTCCTACTCCCAGCAGTACATGCCACACCAATGCCACTGCAAGATTGGCTCTAGGTCTATGCCATCCCCTCGTGGCCAAGTCTCCTGCAGCCAAGTCTCCTGCTGATCTGTGACCATACCTCATGGAGAACTGTTCTAAAGATGACGAGTATCATCCATAGTTCAGCTTACTTCTTTACCTTGTACTGATTAAACTTTGGGGTGGGGGTGAAAGGGGGGCATCATACATGAAAGAGATGTTTCTACATGGAAGAAGAGTCAAACCAAGCTGAAAACCAAACACAAGGGTACCTTAGGAACAGGTTAATAGTAATTCATTTTTTCCAGTAAGGTTAGACTGCCTTGTGCCTTTTGCAGGGCTGAGAACCACATGCCCAGCCACCACCTTTTTCAGTCTTGTCTCTACCCCGGTATCTGCACTGACACCCCAGGCTCACGTGTTCAGGGTCAGCATCTGGCCTATACTAGGTTTTTCTTAGGACCCAGGTGAGGCAGGTTTCCACCTTTGAAAAGTTGTCTGAGAACTGTGTCAATGCTCACTTCTGTTTTTGTACCTGCCCCCTAGCCCCAGCATTGCCACCTGCCTACATCACAGGATGGGGTTGAAAGTCCTGAACTAGCCTCCCTGACTTGGGCCTTCAAGGATAAGGATTCTCAGCCCAGTTTTTACACCAAGCTCAAGTAATTACATGCATTTTAACTAAAACAAAACAAAACCCAATACCTCTTGTAGCAGAGAAAGTCAGTTCATCAGAGTGAGAGGTTGTCATCATTCCAAAAAGACCCTGCCTCTGCCCCAGCCATTCAACATGCCACTGGCCTCATCCACAACACAGACTAAGTGCAGACGTTATCCTCAGTCATATACCAGCCACCAGATATTTAGCTTGGGGAGTTAAAAACAGTGTTGGGATCTTCTGGGAGAGGGCTCTGAAAGATTAGAGAGAGAAAGCACTTGGGAAGGTGAAGCTGATTTTGGAGGAAATTCCCCATTGGAGTAAGAATCACACTTTCAGAATAAACAGAACCTGGGAAACATTTAGTTAACCTCTTCATTTATTTATTTTTATGTTTTGTAGTAAAATATACATAACAAAAATTTACCATTTTAACCATTTTTGAGTGTGTGGTTCAATGGCATTAAGTCCCTTCACAATGTTATACCACCATCACCACTATCCATTTCCAGAACGTTTTCATCATCGCAAACAGAAATTCTTTAGTGGACCCAGTAAACAACTCTCTATTCCTCTCCATCCCTGCAGCCCCTTCACCTTTAACAGAGCCACAGGAACTTGTCCTTTTCTGTTTGAAAACTGGAAGGTGCTCTAGTTTCTGAGGCAGCTTCTGGTTTTTCTGCTTGCTATTCCCCCACCTACACCATCCTGCGGCCACTTGGTACCCCATCTCCAGGTTGATTTTAACCTAAAACACAGATCCTGGCAGACGAGAAGACCTAACTCCTAGTGCCAATTTTTGTGTATAAGTGTGTTATTCCATTTTCCAGCTCAATAAAAAGGAATATCATTTCTGCCCATCTTGGCTTTCCGAGGCTGAAGTGTAACTTAAACAAAAACCACAAAGGCAGTATCACATGGAAAACTGGAACAGGAGTCAAAAACCTGGATTCTAGTTTGGATACCGCCAGCTATGAGACTGCTGGCCAGTTAGCCTTTCTGAGCCCCAAGTTCCTCTGGAAAGTTGCACAGCTCCAAGTGTACAGGTGTTTATACAGTGATGTGTAACCCTTTGAGCACCATGCACGTCTAAGGTGTGCTAACAAAGGACTTTGCTCTCCAGCACTTCTGACTTTGAAAACATTGAGATCCCGACCGAAGAGGACGTGGAAGATTCTGTGCTTTGGCCAGCAATTCACTTTTCAGGGGGTGTGGCGGGAATGGCCTGGGCAGATTTCCTTCTGAGACTCAACTGGAGTGTCCACTCCTGGCTCTGGGAAGTTTGAGCGGCCAGAGCTGGTACTTTTTTCCTTCCTCAAACCTACAGTTCCCTGGCCCGCCTTTCATGTCCTCAGATCTGAAGAGCCAGCCTACTCCCCGCACCCCACTCCCCGCCAACTACCACATCAGCTACTCTGGCCTCCTTATCCTAGAGCTTCAAAATAACCCGGCCAGACGGATTGAAGGAAACTTTTACACCCCCAGCCAGGTGACCAACCTCCTGGCATCCCCAGTGTGTGTCCACTGATGCCTGGTTCCGCATTTTATAAAAAGAATTTTTTCATGAAAAGAACCCTTTGGATGAAAAGAAAGTGAAGCATCACATTCCTGTCGTTTTATTTTTGCAAAATATTTTCTTTGTAATATATCTGAAGGGTGTGGCTTGAAGACTTCCTGCCTGGCTTTGTTCTGACTCTCCATGCAGACCGATTTATATTCCGCCACCAAGAGAAGGGAGCTGAGCTTAGTGGCTGCTTCCCTCTCCTGGGAGAATTTTAAGAAGATCGTCCACAGCAGATTCACATCTATTATGCTTTTTGTTCCTTGCAATTGCCCTGTGAAGTAAGTAGGGTAGAGTTTCTCACCCTCCTGGGGGAAACATGTTCAGGGAGGTCAAGGTCATACAGCTAATAAAAAGAGCAAGTCTTGATGGTGGTGCTTTGAGAGACCAAACTTAGCATGTGCTGTAGAGGAAGTCTACTCGTATGGCTCAAGTACTTTCTTAACAAGGGTCAGGCTCAGGCCCTCTTTTGCTGCACATCTGTTTTAGGAGGAGAATTTCTTCAACAACTTTTCAAATCTCTTGACTATTGGGATAATTACTTGGCCTCACCCACGCCCTTTCTCAATGACTCAAGAGCCCAGCCAGAGCAACCAAGAAAGGAAGTCCAATTACATGAGTTGGAAATGTCTGAACTGGTTTCTCAGGTCAACATAGTCACTCAGCACGCCCTGTCATGCATGTTCCATCGCACCCTCACCCTAGACTGGGGGCCTAACCCGTTTCGTTTACGTTGTACACTAATGAGATTACAAGGTACCATTGACCCAGAAGTTCCTCTAAGAGCCTGCTATTGAAGAAGCAAAGACCATCACCCCCCAACCCCACCCCCATGCTGTCAAAGTTCACTCAGCGTGAGTTCCTAGTCAGTTCAATTTCACACAATTTGATTAACACAAGGCATTGCAGTGATTATTATGGAGGACTAACGAACAATGTAAGATTGGTTCCCATGCTTAAGGCTTAAGAAGCATAAGAAGGAGGCAGGTATAAATAAATGCCCATGTTACACAGCAAACTTTAAAACCTGCTCTAACAGTCATGGTGAGGGACTGATTAATCCTGCCTGGAGCCATTTATTCATTCTGTGGATATTTATGCACCCACTCAGGCACTGGGCTCACAATAATAGTAGCTACTACTTAGCAGTCTTTCCTGTGTAACTGGCTCTGTGCTGAGCTCCCAACAACATCATCACATAGGTACTATTCGCGTTATTCCCACTTTATAGATGAGAAAACTGGAGCACAGTGAGGTTAAGTGACTTTCCCAGGACTGTGTATTCTTAGGTAGCCTGTCTCCCAGGGAGCCTATGAGTGTGGTCATTGATTCACTGGGCAGCAGTGTGTGGGTTGGATGAACTAATAGGATGTGGGCAGTCTTAGAGAAGGCAGAGGGTGAGGAGAGAGCATGAACAAAAGCCCTGAGGTGGGAGGTGCCTGGCACATGCTGAGCAGGTATATGGTCTGAGTACCTGGGGTTAGTTATGTAGGAAGAGCTGTAGGAGATAAAGCCTGGCAGATGGGTTGAGACCAGACAGACAACAAAGGCATGGAAGGACCTGCTAGGAAGCCAGGACTTGATCCATGGACTCCAAGGAACAGCAGTAGGTTTTAAGCAGTCCATATGATTCGTCCTGTGCTTTAGGAAGGTAACCAGCATCTATGCAAACACTGGTGAGATTTTTTTTTTTTTTTTTTTTTTTTTTTTTTTTTTGAGACAGGGTCTTTCTCTGTCATCCAGGCTAGAGTGCAGTGGCATGATCTCGGCTCACTGCAGCACTAACCTCCCAGGCTCAAGTGACCCTCCCACCCTCAGCCTCCTGAATATCTGGGACTACAGGCACGTGCCACCATGGCCAGCTAATTTTTAAATTTTTTTAGAAGTGGGTTCTCCCGATGTTGTTCAGGCTGGTCTTGAATTCCTGGCCTCCAGTGATCCTCGTGCCTCAGCCTCCCAAAGTGCTGGGATTATAGGCATGAGCCATGGCACTGGGTCCTCAGAACAAATGTTAATCTGTTACATAGCTCCGAAGACTCTGGGAAGTTTAGGGGATTGGGGCATAATCAGGGCATAATCAGGGCCAAATCATTAAGGGATAAGACTCCAAAACACTCATACATAAAGGCATTATCCAAAGTCAAGGTCATGGCTAGGTTGGAAATGTGATTTATAAAGAAGAAGCTGTAACTCCACCACTGCATCCTCCTCAGCCCCCCACCTCCAGTCCCTTCCTAACTGACTCCTAGGCTGCCAGGAGCAGCTGGAGACCAGTGCATACACAGCAACGCACCCCCATTTTGGTCCTTTGCAACCAACTATCTTGTGAGATGGGTGATAGATGCTTTCATTATTCTGTTAAAAGCCATATTTTCATCCTTTTTATTTTTGACAGCACACTAAATGTTCTCTAACCAAAATATTGAGGGGTAAAGGGGGATATTTGGACTAGAAATATCCATAAAACAATCAATGTACTTGACACATGGACACATATAGAGACCTGTACCCCCAAATTAATGATTATACATTTTTTGGAAAACCATATGGAATTTTTTTACAAAAATTGACCATGTGTGCTACTTACAAAGCAAACCTCAACAAAAAACAAGGAATCAGTATCATACAGACCAAGTCCTCCAAGCACAATGCAATTAAGTTAGAAATCATCAACAAAAATATCCTTTTTAAAAATCTCACATCTTTGGAAATGTAAAAACATACTCATTACAACTGGGTAAAAGAAAAAAATCATAGTTGAAGAAAAACACTTAGAACTAAATGATAACGAAAATACTTGGGAGTAAGGAACTAGTTGAAAGAGACAAGTCTATCGCTGCTTGGGATTATGTTGCATTTACATTTTTTAAAATTACAGCTTGTCTTATGCTCATTTAGAAATGAGCAGAGGAGGCTGTGTGTGGTGGCTCATACCTGTAATCCCAGCACATTGGGCGGGCACAGGTGGGAGGATTACTTGAGGCCCAGAGTTCAAGACCAGCTGGGCAACATGGCGAGACCCCATCTCTATAAAGAATAGAAAAAATTAGTTGGATGTGGCTGTGTTCACCTGTAGTCGCAGCTCCTCAGGGAGTCTGGGGCAGGAGGATCACATGAGCCTAGGAACTTGCAGCTGCAGTGAGTGGTGATCATGCCACTGCACTCCAGCATGAGCAACAGCGTGAGACCCTGTCAAAAAAAAAAAAAAAAAAGAGCAGAGGTAGGAATATTTTCTAAAACTTTAGAAATTCGAGTCCAGTTTGGCCAGATTGAAAACACGAAGGGTTAAACCTTCAAACCCTACTATTATACCTAAATTCTTAAAAATTGTTTTTCTTATATCTTTATTTTATTGCTAGATCTCATCATCTAAAATTCCTTTCCTGCCTACTCTGAATACAGGTTCATATGAAACAAGTGTAAAAGGAATAGAAAAAGGAAAAATATAGAAATATATTCTGGGCAGCTGTCAGTTGGGTTTAGGGTATTTGGTTTATGTTTATTTGAGCGTTTTTATTCCTTCAGTGTTCTCAATACGTAGTTTTGAGCTCTGTTTTGTGACTGTGATAAGGAATTTGGGAAAAATGGGAGTGGAGGTCTTTTTCTTCTGGAGTCAGTTAACAACTCATTTTCTAGACAGAATTTCACCCTCACTCTTAAGTCTTAGAGTCAGTCAGACATTGGCTGACAAGGAAAATAGACGCCAAGATTTCCTCAAAGCTCAGCTTATGGTAGTCAGTGCTGGTTAATATTACCTGTAACTCTTTCCTCTTACCTGACTGCCCTGCCATTTTGAAGAAAAAACGATAAAATTATTGGATTTCTCTCCAGAAGGAAACTAAGTTGCTGATGGATCACATTGTGGTGGTTCTTGTTCTCGCCTGGGAGGAAGCGCTGCCACCTGCTGCCCTCTGCTGGTCAAATAAAACCAGCTTTAGGAACCTGTAGTTCTTTCCCACGGTGTCTACACCAGCCCTGTCCTCCCGGACTTGGCCCAGCATTCTCTTGTGCTGTTTCACAGAGAGAGAACATGTGCATTTTATGTGAACAATGTCATCTTTCCTCCACGACCACTATTTCGTCTATGTTTTCTTTTTTTTATTTTTTTGAAACAGGGTCTCACTCTGTTGCCCAGGCAACAGTTGCCCAGTACAGTGGCACTTTCTTGGCTTGCCACAGCCTCAACTTCCTGGACTCAGGCAATCCTCCCACCTCAGCTTCCCGAGTAGCTGTGCACCACCACACCTAGCTCATTTGTTTTTATTTTTTAGTAAAGATGAGGTCTCATTATGTTGCCCAGGCTGGTCTTGAACTAAGCTCAAGTGATCCTCCTGCCTCAGCCTCCCAAAGTACTGGGATTACAGGCGTGAGCAACCATACCCAGCCCACAACCACTATTTTGGATTCCAGCTCTCTCCTCCTTCCCATCTATCATTTTACATTGACTCCAACCTGTTTCTAAGGAAGGAAAACATTATATTTCAAGAAAAATGTGCAGCTTATATAAAGCCCTCAGGATCCTGCACACACCAGCAATGACCACTAGACAAGGTGGTCAGGAAGCCTAATTTCTAGTCTACTAATTGGGTGACTTCAGTTAATTTCATTCAACAAATATTTGATTTTTCTGCTATGTGCAAGACTCATAGCAAAAAAAAATATGACTGATGGTTCATAGCAAAAAAAATTTATGACTGATGGTGCATAAAACACGGGAAAGGGTTACTACCTTCAAAAGGTTCACAAGTCTGGTAGGGCAAATACAGTTCAGTAAGACGTTATGGTACTTAGCAGTTCATGGTCAGAGACTTAGAGGTACCTACAGCCCCTAGAAGAGTGCAGAGGAGGAAGATCACTATTGGCTACATCTCAGACATTGACTGACTGATTAGATTCCTGAGCAAGTTCATGGCAGGACATTTTCTCAGCTCTCCTCCCCAAAATTAGGATCCCACCACTTAAGCTTTTCATTGATTTGACAAATATCAACAGAGCACATATGTGCCAGGTATCATGCTAAGCTTGGAGGCAATACTAGCGAACAATATGGCCCATTAGAATTCAAAAAAAGAGAAAATAAAAAATTTAAGAATATAAATAAAAAGTAATAATAAATAAAACAATATGGTCCTTGTCCTCATGGGCCCTGCAGTCCATAGGGAGCCACAGACAAATATATCGGTAATTAGTCTACTGTGTGAGAAGGGTGTTCTCCTCCAGTTCGTACTCTGATTTGCTTCAAAGAAGAAAGAGAAAAAATGAGGGAGGAATCTTCTATGACCGTAGTCCAGAGTCAAAGTTAGAAAAAAAACATTAGTGTGGACCTTGCCCAGGCTCTTGGTCCTTGCTGGAGGATTTTAAATTAAAGGACTGAGTAGAGATAGGATAGATAGAGAGGTGGAGAGCAAAGATAAGCAGGTAGGCCTTTGATGTCAATGACAAAGTTTCACAATGCTTTTCCTAAGACCCTCCCACTTTGCTGAATGCTATGATGGAACGAGCACTGGAATAAAATTCAAGAGCTCTCGGAGCCAGTCCTCTGTCACTGTGATCTTAACACTTCACTTCCCTATCTCACCTAGGAAATGGGGATACATAACATTTGCTCTGCACTTCCTCCAGGGTTTTGGAGGAGCACATGAAGGAGTTTGTGAGTAGCTTATGCGAACTTCAAGTAATCCGCCCGCCTGGGCCTCCCAAAGTGCTGGGATTACAGGTGTGAGCCACCATGCCCAAACAAAAGCAAATATTCCTAATTTGAGTGTAGTCCTTAGCAGAGACACTGGAAAGAAAGATTGCGAATAAGACTTAATTACTGGTTCATAAGTTCTTGGAAGGTCTGAAATGAAGTCAAAGGTCAAATATGTATTCACCAACATTTATTAAATACCCTTTATGTGACAGACCCTTGGGCTAGGGCCCTGAGGTACAAAGGTGAGTGACAAATACTTCCTGTCTTTGAAGAGCTTATAGTCTAATAGGTTCGACCGTGCTGTATTTTTCCTTCAAAAATAATTATTAAGAAAGTGAGTCCGGGCGTGGTGGTTCATGCCTGTAATCTCAGCACTTTGGGAGGCCGAGGCAGGCGGATCACCTGAGGTCAGGAGTTCAAGACCAGCCTGACCAACGTGGCGAGACCCCGTCTCTACTAAAAATACAGAATTAGCTGGGCATGGTGGCGCATGCCTGTAATCCCAGCTACTCGGGAGGCTGAGGCAGGGGAATCACTTGAACCGGGGAGGCGGAATTTGCGGTGAGCTGAGATCACACCATTGTACTCCAGCCCGGGCAAGAAGAGTGAAACTCCGTCTCAAAATAAATAAATAAATTAAATAAAGAAAGCGAAACATGCTGATTGCAGAATATTTGGGAAGCCCACATAAGAAAAGAAAGGAAACAACAGTCACCCCAAATCAAGATGCTTTATAAATCCCAAGGGTAGAGCCTATGTCTTAGTATTTCTCTACCCACAAAACTGTACTTAGAGAGTATGACAAGGTCAGTTAATGTTTTTTGAATGGGGACAAAGCCACCCTTAAACCTACCACCCTGAGATAACCACTGTTAACATTTAGAAAATATTCTTAGCCTTCTTTTCTTTGACTGTCAAATGACTGACTGGGATGCCATTCTCCCTGCCTTATCCAAACCAGGAAGAGAAATGTTTGGCCTCTTTAGTGCCCCCCTACAGGTGATGCAGTGCTGCTCGTGGTTGATTTAATAGTTTGAGTGGAGCAACCCTTTACATCCTTCCCCATGCCATGCCTCGAAACCTTTTCACACAGAGAACTCTTTTAGGTGTGGGAAATGCAGTAGGTTCTACCAGATGTTCTCATCCACTCCCCCATCCCACCCCAGAAAAGCCTCCGGGGCAGGAAGTTGGTTTATCCAAGATCAGTTCCCTGGAATAGAGGGGGACTTTCATCAGGTTCATTAAACAAGGCTGCATGTTGATTCGCTTTAGAGAGTTAAAAAAAATCCCAATGCCCAGGCCCCACCTCACACCAATTAAAACAGAATCTCTAGGCATGAGGCCCAGGCATTAGCCTCTCGTGTTTTTAAGGCTGCCCAGGTCAGGCGTTGAGAACCACTGATTTAAAGATAGGCTAAGCAGAGGTGTAAGTGGTCTTTTGAGACTAGCAGAGGGCATTGCAATGGCCAGAGTTGGGGCACTCAGCCCAGAACTTGGCTTCACAAGGGTTTTCTGCAGCCCACTTTTTAGAAAACCTGGGTGGTATAAGCAGGCACTTGATTTGCAAAGGGGAACGCAAAGAAGGAAATAATGTCTTTCTTCCAAAGGGTTTATATGGATTCCTCTATAAGGGAAGAACACACAGAAACCATGCATGTTCACAAAGATATGCATACATACAGGGAAATAAGTGCAGAGGCCCCAGTTGGGCTATTTTGTAAGGCTTGTGAGTTTTCTGGCTTCATGATAAAGGAAAGAAGAATTTTGCCAAATAAGCTATTAAAGGTAAGCCACTTTAATAACAGTCTGCTTAGCAGAAGGAAGATGATTAAAATGAGATCATCTTTATTTAAATAGGTATTGAGTACCTGTTATTTGCCGGGCATTGTGCTAAGCACTTGATGTACAAGATTTTATTTAATCTTTGTGATAACACTTTACACTAGGTATTATTTATCCCCATATTATAGTGGAACATCAGTTATTACGTAATTAACATACAATCACATTAAACAAAACAGATGACCTCAGCCTATCTCCAAAGTCCGTGCTTTTTTAAAACAATGCCAGGCTGTACAATCTGGACATGGATGATTAGTGGTAATACAAAAGATGGGGGGAAAAGTGACCATCTCCTCAAGAAGATGTAGCTTTCCAGAATGGCTAGTTGGCTAAAATGTTTTCCCTACTGTGAAATCTCCAGGGTGTCCTGAGGCAGGCAGCATGGTATATACCAAGAGCCCTATCAGTTCCTCCCTTGAACCAGCCTTGTGACCAGAGTTAGTCGGCTTAGTCACTTAGTATTCATTTTCTCACCTATGAAGTGGAAAGGGTTGGAATGGTTGGGTCAGTGGCTTCAAGTTGCCCCATGCAGGCCTGGGCTATAGGAGATCATGCTTGAGAAAGAAGAGACAGACGACTTCTCTTATTCCCCTTCATCCAGAGAAGCTCTGTTGTTTAGCTGCTTGAAGAGTCGTTTCCCCTGCGTGGGGATGAGTAAAGGGTAAAGGGAGGACATTTGGAAGGAATCCACTGTATTAGTGAATTTCAATGACCCTTCCAGTTTGATAGGTCTCAGGTCCTCTATTTTTGAGTTTATGATGCTAGGAAGAATCAGTGCCACCACACTGCTTGTGTGCATAATGACCAAGAGAGTGGGTTTTCTGCCTGTGAAGGGAAGAAAAGCAACTGAGAAGAGGGAGGACAGAAAGACCTCTGCTAGCAGAGCTCCAAGTTACAATAAACCTGCCTGGGGCCGCACGCTGCCAGGCAGGAATGTGAACAACTGAATTAGACAGAGTAAACCAAGTGCCAATTGTTGCTAAAGAGAGGTTTTACTAATGTGACAGTAATACAGTCACAACACAGTGGGAAGTTGGGCTCCAGGCCTCATCTCCCTAAATTGTACTTTCTTTTTACTCAATACGGTGAAGTCCCTTGTTCTCTTTTAGTAGTTTAGGATTCAAGCAATTTTCTGTGTCTTTTTGTTTTTCAGATCTTAAATCCAAATTTCATCCAAGAAGGTGAGTTAAAAAGCATTAGAATTGGAAACATGGGGATTGGTTAAATAAATTATAGTTAATCCAGCACTAAAGCACTGGCTGTAAGCAATGGTGATATAGTTCTGTATCAATGGACAAGGAAAGAGGTTTATGATAAATTATTAGATGAAAAAGACTAAAGCTTGCGATATGTATAATGGGATCCAAGTTTTATAAGAAGTCTGTTTATATAAAGCCCAAAAGGGTATATACCAGAATGCCTACAGTAATTATCTCTGGATTATGACATTATGGAGCTTTTCTTTCTTTCTGTTTATATTTCCTATTTTTTTCTATAATAAACAGTTATCTCTTTTAAACACTTTTTAAAGAGACCCAGATGACTCACCAGTGTTATACTGAAGGTTATTTGAATCATTACATGACATGGGTGGGAAATGAGAGAGGTGTGTTAAAACAAAATGGCCATTTTATTCTAAATTTGCTCTGAATGATGTTAATGTATGTTGATTTGATCACAGTGGCCCCAGAATTCCTTGTGCCCTTGGTGGATGTGACCTGCTTGCTTGGGGACACAGTGATACTGCAGTGCAAAGTCTGTGGGCGGCCAAAGCCCACCATCACTTGGAAGGGTCCAGACCAGAACATCCTTGACACTGATAACAGCTCAGCCACATACACGGTCTCCTCTTGGTAAGCCGATTGCCCTAACATCAGCAACAGCAGCCCCTTGCTTGACACAGCACTGAGAGGCTGAATCTGGGGTGCAACTTCTGCTCTGGTGACTGGGCTCTGCAAGAGAATAGCTGCCCTGGAGCCTGTTCTTGGGCAAACACTTGGACTTGATTAGAGAGAGACTGAGGAGACTCAAGTGTTAGTCAGAGCCTCTGCCACTCACGCTGCAGCCTGATGGACACCTGCAGCAGCACCAGCACACATTTCCCACGGTGCTCAGCACCACGTAGACATACCTGGGATCAACAGAATGGTTTGTAAAGACTGTGCTCCAGACCCACATTAAACAAATAGGGAAAAACATAAACCTTTATATCTCAAGTCAAGCATGCACCATACTTATGAAGAGTTTTTACAGTCACTGCCTTACATTCACCCTGGTAGATGATCTTTCCCTACAGATCCCCAAGTGAATCTCTAAGTCAGAAGATTTAGACTTCTGATTTAAGTGGCGAAGGCTCCAGACCTGTAGTAAAAATGTAATCCTCACATCTGGACATCCTGACATTTTTTGTGCCTTTCAGGTTGCTGTGAAACAGTGAGATGTTTAATTCCTCACCTAAGAACAGTGTTATTAGAAAAAGAAACGACTAATTCTAAAATGTGCAATAGAAAATCAAGCCGCAAGGATGCTTCTACACACAGAGTCCATTTAACAAAACTTAGCTGACTGCCTCCCAATCATTGTGTCAGCATTTATTGTTACTAACTATGAATTGGACTGTGTACTGTTGCTTACAGTGGACAAGTGGTAGCAAGCCCTAGATGCTTGAGAAACATTAGTGGAAGAAGCACCTAGAATCAAGAAACTTTCATTCATTGACTTAATTTGTGTGTATGGGAAAAAGAAGAAGACCATCATTCCTTGGTATTCCCAGCAGAGACCATAAAGAGGCCAGGTCATAAAATATCAGTGGGTCCAAGAAGCCTAGTGTGAGACGCAGTGGTTGGTGAGGATCATGAAAAGCGCCAGGGGATATCATAACCCTAGGGAAGGGGCAGAGCTGACTGTGACTTCTGTATTTCAGAGCAGTTCTCCCCTGGGGATATTCCTGGACCTTGTATTGGGGTGAATGGGGAAGTTATCATTTAGGTGATGGAATTTACTCTTTCTTAGAAATTCACTTAATTATTTTGAGGATCCCACATCTAGAATTTGAAATACTTAAAATATTTTTATTCTTGAGTCTTTCCTTTTTTTTTTTCCATCATTCATTATCGATCTGTGAAACTGAAAATATTCTAGGACAAAGTTGCTAGTGGTAATAATACTAATAATACTATGAGCCAGAACTTGCATACAACTTTATATATTTCAAACAATGCTCTAATTCTTATGTCATTTTATTCCTTATTTTATCCCTCATGTACAACAAACTTGAGAGATGGGCATGGCCAGAAAATTTTTTTCCATATAAGGAACTGGGGATGTAGAGAAACAGGGTGGTAGGTAGCTCACAGACCAGGGACTGACCTCGGGCCTGAGGACTCTCAGCTCAGCACACCATGGGCCAACCCTATGGGATTTTACCCAGCAGTCAAGTGTCTCATTACTGGAGTCTGAAGAGCATCCTTTTGGTGTCCCTAGTGATTCTGGAGAAATCACCCTGAAGATCTGTAATCTGATGCCCCAAGACAGTGGGATTTATACCTGCATAGCAACAAATGACCACGGGACCACATCAACGTCTGCAACAGTCAAAGTGCAAGGTACAGCCTCTTTGTTAGTCAAACCTTTTGAAATATATATATATTTTTAGACAGGTTCTTGCTCTGCTGCCCAGGCATGATCTCTGTTCATGGCAGCCTTGACCTCCCAGGCTCAAGCACTCCAACCACCTCAGCCTCCCGATTAGCTGGACATGCACCACCATGCCTCGCTAATTTTTTTTGCATTTTTTGTAGAGATGGGATTTTGCTGTGTTTTCTACAATACTTTTTAAAACATTTATTTTTTAAATTTCAGTAAAACACACAATAAAATTTACCATCTTAACCATTTTTTAAAAAATTCAAATAGAGACAGGGTCTCGCTATGTTGCCCAGGCTGGTCTCAAACTCCAAGGCTAACGCAATCCTCCCGTCTTGGCCTCCCAAAGTGCTGGGATTGCAGGCATGAGCCACTGTGCCCATCCCATCTGAACCATCTTAAATGTACAGCTTAAAAATAAATAAATAAGTGTACAGTTCAGTGGCATTAAGTACATCCACATTTTTGGGTTACCATCACCACCATCCATCCACAGAACTTTTTCATCTTCCCATCTTTCTGAAACTGCATCTGTACCTGTTGAACAATGACTCCCCATTCCCTCCTCCCCAGTGCTTCTTGGCCACCACTGCTCTACTTTCTGTCTCTATCAATTTGTGTTACTCAAACTTTATTTTTTCTTGAGACAGGGTCTTGCTCTGTCGCTCAGGCTGGAGTGCAGTAGCATGACACCACTCACTGCAGCCTCAACCTCCCAGGCTCAAGCTATCCTCCCACCTCAGCCTTCCAACTAGCTAGGACTATAGGCATGTGCCACCATGCCCAGCTCATTTTTTAAACTTTTTGTAGTGATGGAGCCTCGAACTCCTGGGCTCAAGTGATCCTCCTGCCTTGGCATCCCAAAGTGCTAGGATTATAGGCGTCAGCCAGCACACCTGGCACTACGTTTTAAGTGAACATTATAAGGGCTCCCTGCGACCTGGGGGAGAAAATGTCCATTGTAAAAATTCAAAAATAAAGTTCTGGCAAATGAGACGAGAACGAATCTTTGCTAAGAGCTGTCTGTGGCCTACCATAAACCTACCATCAACATGTTAGTTCCCTGGCCAAGCTTTATCTTCAGGGTGCAGTATTTAGCCCAAGGAAGAACTTCAGACAGCATGGTGTGTCTCCCACATCTGCCTTGGGCCTGGAGAAAGGTATGCCACTTGGTGGAGAAGGTCACAGGAAAAAATTGTGACATCGGTTAGGTAATGTTTCCTAGATGACTTATACCTTGGTGTAAAATGCCAAGTTCTGCAGAAATAGCACCTGATCCTGATTTCTGTCTCCATAGGTGTTCCAGCAGCCCCTAACCGCCCCATTGCCCAGGAGAGAAGCTGCACCTCCGTGATTCTCCGCTGGCTGCCCCCCTCCAGCACAGGAAACTGCACTATTTCTGGTTACACTGTGGAGTACAGAGAGGAAGGTGCACTATCTCCTGCTCTTCTTTTTCTTTTCTCTTCTTTTAAAACATTTATTTTTAAAATTGCAGTAAAACACACATAATAAAATTTACCATGCTAACCATTTTTTCAAAAATTTGAATAGAGACAGGCTATTGCTATATTGCCCAGGCTGGTCTCAAACGCCAGGGCTAACGTGATCCTCCCACCTTGGCCTCCCAAAGTGCTGGGATTACAGGCATGAGCCACTTTTATTTTCCTTTATTTTTATTGTTTATTTTTTTTGAGACAGGGTTTGGCTCCATCAACCCAGGCTGGAGTGCAGTGGTGCAATGTGGGCTCACTGCAGCCTCCACCTCCTGGGCTCAAGCCAACCTCCCACCTCAGCCTCCTGAGTAGCTGGGACTAAAGCGCACACCACCACACCCGGCTAATTTTTGTATTTTTAGTAGAGACAGGGTCTCACTATGCTGCCCAGGCTGCTGGCTGCTGTGAAACTCCTGAGCGCAAACAGTCCACTTGCCTCAGCCTCCGGAAGTGCTGGGATTACAGGCGTAAGCCACCGCGCCCGGCCTCCTGCTCTTGTTTTTCTGTCTTCTCTTCGTCTCTAGGAGGTCCTTCAGAATTGTGAACATATTAGCCTCCTCATCTTTCAGAAGTTGTTCCTTGTTGTGTCTTCCAACTCAGCACAGAGGCCTCAGTGCCAGATTACAGCTGCCTTCTGATCCCAGATGTCGAGCAGCTGTTTTGGCTAAGATGATCCAAACCTCCCTGACATATTTATGACCCAGGGCAGGTTTCAAGGTGTCTTCATGCATGTATCCCTACTTAACATGCTCGATCACCCAGACAGGGATGATCAATCCCATTTTACAGAGTGGGAGGCTGAGGCCTAAAGAAAGTTAAGAAACACAAGATTATAGTTAGTGAGAGGCAGAGCTAGCACTAGAACCCAGATGTCTACTTGGATAATTTGTGATCTTTCTCCCAGAGAAATAACTAGTGTAGTACGGGTGGAGTTCTACACCCCCTATCCCCAGATAAAATTAAGAGAATATATATTTTTTAATTGTGCCGTTTAAAATTGTGCAATTTAAACTGTTAAAATTTGTTACATTTACATGCTAAAAGTGAATATATTTCTTCAGCAGTTAGAAACAACTGAGACTTCCATCTAGTTAGCAAGAATTAGTTAAAATAAGAAGCTGCCAGATAGCTCTAATTGTTAATAACACAACTACAGTTATTCACAGTAATAACACAATTACTCTGAATAACATTAGGAATTACACAATTGAACTGAAAGCAAGTGCTTGCTACCCTATCCCCCGAACCAAAACCATTTGTTTTATTCTACTTTCCATTATGCTTATTATTTTAACTCTTCTTTCTCCTTCTTTCTTATTAAACAGGCCCTATGCAGTTATAAACCCATTTATTTCTGCATCCTTCTTAAGCTGTTCACTCTTGTGTCTCCCAGGTTAGCACAAAAGTATTAATAGTGAGCTGGGAGACACATTTTACAAAGTTCATGTTTACCTTAGCATTATCCAGTTCATAGTTCAGCTCATTAACTAAGTTCTCTTGGGCAAATTGTTCAATATTTCTGAGGCTCAGTTTCTACATCTGTAAAGTAAGATTAGCGGTCTCTACCTCACTGGGTTTCTGTGGATTTAAGACAGAATTAACTTTCTGTCTTAAATCTCATTTAACTATGAGAGAATTATGTTGAAAACACCTTCCACAGTATTTTACGTGTACGTAGTGTTCAATACATGTTACTTTCCATTTTGTTTCCATTTCCAAATGCATATTTTCTCTCATGTTATTAACTAAAAATATACTCTTCTGGCCTTATTAAAAGTTTGCCATGTGTCCCCTGTAAATTCTGTATTATCTATGTCTTTTTACTCTGGCACTTGCACATTTGAAAGTGAACAGAATCTATAGGCCAGCTTCTTCCACGCCTCTCACCATTTATTCCGTCATTTAGGAAACCGAATCCAAACTACCATAGTTAGCCTACAGGCTTTCAGAGCCTGACACGGTAACCACAAGCATCCCTTGAATTGAATGTGTCTATTTTCCTGTCTTTGTTTGCTGAAGGTCTTTGAAACAATATCCCTTTGGCTTTTCTCTTTCCCTCTCCTGGGAAACTGTACACTAGGTTCTCAGATCTGGCAGCAGTCAGTGGCTTCGACCTTGGACACTTACCTCGTCATCGAAGACCTTAGTCCCGGGTGTCCTTATCAGTTCAGAGTCAGTGCCAGTAACCCCTGGGGAATCAGCCTTCCCAGCGAGCCCTCGGAGTTTGTGCGACTTCCAGAATATGGTGAGTCCCAGCCCAGCCCTGGCCCCCCAGGCAGTGGGATTGAGGCACCTGGCTGCCTGTCACAGACTCCTGGGCACGTTGACATGTCAGGCCACCATGCAAGAGGCACCTTTTAGAGGACTAAGAAGAATGTTTCTGTAAAGTATAGCTCCAAGCATCTTGGGCAAATGTTAGGTCTGCACCCATGCCTACCCCTGCACCTGCCAAGTTCCCTGGGGAATGAGTATGTCCCCAGGAATGGAGAGTTACAGGCAGGAGTCATGAGTCCTGTGGATGTTCTCTGCCCCTCTTCTGAGACAGTAATACAAAGCCTCCTCCCACCCGGGCACCCCTGCCAGCCGTAAATGTACCTCCCTGCATGAGGGACTCACCCACTTCAAATGGGGGAAAGAAAAGCAACCTGGCTGAAGGACTTCATTACAACATGAGGATTTCATAGTTTCCTCACCCCCAATCATCCCAGAATTTCTTTTTTCAACATGGGTATAATTTTATGTAGATTTGTTGAAAAAGTAACTAAGATACACATATAGCTAGCTAAATATGAGTATTTTACAAATAAGGTTCTTATTTTGCCCAAAACATCTTCGTCCCAGGGACATTTTGAAAGAGAAAACTTGGCTATCCTAAAGAAATCTCCAAATGGTGAGATTTTGGGCAGTGCAAGGGAGTGGTCTGTGTGTACTGGGGAGAGCAGTGGGTGGGGGGCAGCTGACTGTACTCGAAAGACCATGGACCTGTGTGCCTTAGGGTTAAGGGAATTCTGGAGTCTCCAGAGGGGTTTGGGAAACCCTCTAAATCACCTCTGCCCCCACCTGAATCCAGAAATGCTCTCCAGTTCCAGTCCCACAGTCAGCCCGGTTTTCTCCCAGTGACTTTGACTTTGTTCCCACGAGCCTGTGACTCTTGCAGAAACCTACGCCCTGGGTCTCTGTTTCCTCAGAATTCAAGATGGATAAGCCGCCTTCAGTCTCAGCCAGGCTGTGCTCTGGGAAACCTGAGGGAACTGGCTCCAGGGTCAGCTGAGCCAAGCTGCTCATGTGACCCCTCTCCTCCCAGGCTGCTCACTTGCTCCAGCCCCGGATGATGCTGTGTGTTTTGCTATTTGTGAACCTTGGTCCCCAACAGATGACACAAATGCGTATTGCTGTGCTTGCTCTGTGTGCGTGTGTGTGTGCACGCGTGCGTGAATCATTGCCAAGGAATTGACACATCACACAAGGTAATACTGCCAAAGAATCTACTCAGGCATATATTGTGGGTTAAGCTAAATCCTTCAGTATACCAGATAAGCTCATTAATGCCTGAGAAGAGCGGGATAAGAAGATAATTTTTTCTTTTTCTTTCTTTCTTTCTTTTTTTTTTTTTTTTGGAGACAGGGTCTCGCTCTGTCTCCCAGGCTGGAGTGCAGTGGCGCGATCATAGCTCATTGCAGCCTCGACCTCCTGAGCTCAAGTGATCCTCCAACCTCAGCCTCCTGAGTAGCTGGGACTACAAGTGTACACCACCATACCTGGCTAGTTTTTGATTTTTTTGTAGAGACAGGGTCTTGCTATGTGGCTCAGGTTAGAAAGAGAAATTTCTAAAATGTCTTTTCCTTTTCTCCTTTCTTGACCTTGTAACTTTTCCCTTCTCTCTCTGCATCCTCCTTACACCCCTGATTTTCACGAGCTTTTCTAGGTCTTCAAAGTGTTCTTTTATCCCTTTTAAATTTTTCTCCTAAATTTATCTTATAAAATATCCATAAGTCATATTTCTGATTGTACTGCGTTTTCCCTTTGTTTAAGTAGATGGGAGAGAGAAGCTGACTCTGTCATGTCAGTTTCCCCTTGGATGATTTTTTAAAATAACATTCCAGAGAATCATGGCATTTTCCCACTGAGTCAGACTCCATATTTGGTCATGAGAATTGCTTTGGGGTTACTCTGGAGCTTTTCTGTTAATTTTTTCTTTATTCTTATATGACATCCTCGATATTGTAAATGGATTCTCTTTCTTCCGAAGATGCTGCTGCTGATGGTGCCACCATTTCTTGGAAGGAAAATTTTGACTCAGCTTACACTGAGCTGAATGAAATTGGAAGGTAATGACACAGTTTTATATTCCTTCATTCATGAACACCTAGCAACATCACATCAGAACAGTAACTTTTTGTTGTTGTCATTGTTTATTTCTTTTACAAATGCAATTCTCTCCATAGCAAGAAAAAAACTAAAATATTCGTTTGTATTTTCTACTGTTCTTTTTCTAACTTCTTAAGTTGGATGCTTCATTCATCAGTTGTCAACCTTTCTTCTTTTCTAATATAAGAAATTAAGGCCCAAAATTTTCTTCAAAGTACAATTTTAGCTATAGGTCCTGAGTTTTGATATGCAGTATTTTCCTTATAAGTTATATGTAGTTGTCTTCAACTGTGAATTTTTCTTTGACCTGGTTATAATGGAAACATGTTTTAATATATATGAGATTTTTAAAGGTATGAGTTTTTTTAAAGTATCTTTTTATTACTGATTTCTAACTTAATTTGCATTGTGGTCAGAAAATCTATATGGTACTGATTCCTTGGTTTTTGTTTGGACTTGCTTTATGAGTAGTACATGGTTACTTTTTGTAAAAATTTCCACATGTTCCTGGGAAGACTGTGCAATCACTAATTGTTGGATATACATCTCTATATTGCCCGTGTACCAAGCACATTAATTATTTTATGAGTATTTCTAATCCCAATCCTCCCCCTGCCACACACATACACTCCATACCTTTCTCTTTCTCTCTCTTTCTCACTTGCAGTATTTTGGTTAGAGAACATTTAGTGTGTCCTCAAAAATAAAACAGATAAAAATATGACTTTTAACAGAAAAATTAAAAATCTATCACCTGGCCCACAAAATAGTCTATGGGAAAGAAACAAAAGGCATTCATCCCTATGCATGCTTTGGTCTCCAGGTGGTCTGTGTGAGGGAATGTAGGTAGATCTTACAGGTTGCCCACCCGTAAGATCCTTCCCCCCGGATGTATAAATAAAAGAATACCCACTAACGATGGGCCATTGACATCATTTCTAGCTCTGATTAGCATTTCTCAGTGAAGCATAACATTTTTTAACTGACGTGGTTGTGACCGACGTTGTAGAGGAAACCAAAATGGTCCTTCTGCCTGTGTCTTAGGCAGGAGTCACAATATCATTCACTGCCTTCCGTTACAGCACCTTTCATCAAAAACAAACTCTACCTCTCCTTTCCTGTCTTCTTTGTGTAGCCAAACAGAAGAAAAAAAGCCAAGGAAATTTATGTAATGGTGATGATGATAATGATGATCTCAGTATCTATAGTATTCTAGATACTAAGCAGATACTATATACAAATGTTATTTTTGTTTGTTTGAGCTCTACTGCTTAATACACAAACATTATTTAATTTAATCCATACAACACTATGAGATACTGTTTGAGCAGATTTAAAAAAAAAAGATAGAGATCGGTTATTGCTATGTTGCCCAGGCTGGTCTTGAACTCCTGGGCTCAAGCAATCCTCCTACCTCAGCCTCCCAAAGTGCTGAGATTACAGGCCTGAGCCATTGCACCAGGCTGAGTATATTGTCTTTTTGTCTTCTTTTTTCTCTTTTTGAGACAGGGTCTGTCTCTGTCACCAGGGCTGGAATGCAGTGGCAGTATCATAGCTCACTGCACCCTCAATCTCCTAAGAAGCTATCCTCCCACGCTTGCGGGGAGGATGATCAGTCTTCCAAGTAGCTGGGACTACAGGTGCACACCACCATACCTGGCAAACTTTTAAAAGAATCTTTTGTTGTTGTTTTGTAGAGATGGAGTTCTCACTATGTTGCCCAGGCTGGTCTCAAATTCCTGGGCTCAAGCAATCCTCCTGCCTCAGTCTCCCAAAGTGTGGGATTACAGGTGTGAGCCACCCATCTCACCCAGCCTGAAGTATATTTTCAGTAAAGGAAACTCAGGGTCAGGGAGGTTAAGTAACTTTCTTAAAGCCCCACAACTAGGAGGTGTGGAGCCAGGATTCAAATTCTGGGCTACCCAACTCCAAGCCTGGTCTTGTTTTACTAGCATATATTGTTTCTCATCATATCGATTATTGTCCAAAATAAGCTCTAGTAACTGAAATCTAGTTTGCTTTATTATATTGAAATTTGTGAAGCTAAACATGACCCCCAATAATGGGCCGATTAAATCCCCAGCTAGTTCTAAATGAAATTGGTTTCATCACCCGGATGCCCCAGTTAATTCCTCCTGGAGGCATGTGTTTGCTATTATTAGCCATAGGTTAAGTCATGTTTTAGCTAAAACAGATGGCTGATTTGATATTTCTCAAAGGGAAGATCAATTTTCTTATCTGTTCAAAAGTAATCGATGTTTTTGTTTTAAAGTCTCTAACAGCCTGAAGCTTGTCCTCTCTCCTAAGAATAGTCCTTATATTTTCAGAAGATCTTTTCAAAATGTTGTACATTAACAGAATGGAAATAATACATGGAAATTCTTTTTTTTTCTTTTTTCTTTTTTCTTTGAGACAGGGACTCACTATGTTGCCCAGGCTTGAGTGCAGTGGCATGATCACTGCTCACTGCAGTTTCGACCTTCCAGGCTCAAGTGATCCTCCCACCTCAACCTCCCAAGTAGCTGGGACTACAGGCGTGAGCCATCACAGCCAGCTAATTTTTGCATTTTTTTTGTAGATACGGTATTTCACCATGTTGCCCAGGGTAATCTCAAACTCCTGAGCTCAAGCAATCCACCCACCTTGGCCTCCCAAAGTACTGGGATTACAGGCGTGAGCCACCCCACCAGGCCCAAATAATACATGGAGATGTTAATGTGAGACACAGGAAAGATATCTGTGCCAGGGCTGTAGAAGTCAATCGACTTGCTTCATCACACCTAAATCTGGAATTCTGGGCCTTTGTGACTATTCTGTTAAAAGGAGTGCTCTGGTAATTAAATACTATAAAAAGCCACAGTGCAGGAAGATTCTCTCCTACAGCACATCCATAGAAGGAAAGGGCACTTGAGTATGGCGTGTTTAACCAGGAATGAACTATACAGGCAACAATGCAGTATAGAGAAGGCAGGGGATTGTCACTGGAAATGCTGACCCATTGCCTATACCCATTGCTATATAAAAAGGTAGCAGTACCAGGCCTCCAGGTCAGATGGCAGGTTGAACACAGGCATCTATCTTCACTTCTTCCTAAACTTCATTGAAACTATAATGCAGGGTTTATTTTATTTTATTTTATTTTTTTAAGTAGGCATATAAGAATGAGGACATTGGAAGAAGAGACAAAAATAAAGTATTATTTTCACAGAAATACAGATGTTTTTCACAGAAATTCATGTTTTTCTTCTACAGAAAAACAGATGAAAGAATGATAAATGACCTTCAAGACCTGAGTGAGTCAGTCAGTCATGGGGTCAAATGAGGGCCAGTATAATTTTTGCAGCAGAATTACCCAAAAGCTCAGGTATTAGGAGCATCACGTACCTCTGGAAGTAGGTAAAAGGAGGATGCTAAAATTGAAAGGATTGGCTGAAATTTTTTGAGAAGTTGAGTCTCAGAAGGGAGTGAAAACTGATGTCTGTGTTCAGCCTGCCATCCTTACCTGGAGGCCTGGTCCTGCTACAATTTAGATTCTATACAGGCAACCAGTCAGCATTCCCAAGGGATAAGCTGGCTCCAAATCTGCTCCCCAGCTTCAAGTATCTGTGTGATTGTCTTTCTTCATCCAAGAAAAGACTGGTCCCTCCCTTCCTTCCTTCCTTCCTCCCTTCCTTCCTTCCTTCCTTCCTTCCTTCCCTCCCTCCCTTCCTTCCTCCCTCTTTCTCTCTCTCTCTTTCTTATTTCTTTGTTTCTTTTGTTGTCGTTGTTGTTTTAGGACAGGGTCTCACTCTGTCACCTAGGCTGGACTGCAGTGGCTCAATCATGGTTCACTGCATCCTTGACCTCCTGGGCTCAAGTGATCCTCTTAGCCTCCCAAGTAGCTGGGACTACAGACACACACCATTATGCCCAGCTAACTTTTTAATTTTTCATAGAGACAAGGTCTCCCTATGTTGCCCAGGTTGGTCTCGAATTCCCAGTTTCAAGCAGTCCTCCCGCCTTGGCCTCCCAAAGTGCTGGGATTGCAGGCATAATCCACCGTGCCTGGCCTGGAGTTTTATTTTCTGGAAAGGGAAAAATGGAGCATCCCTGCCCTTGGGGACACCAGGCACAGTTGAAGGCAGTGGAGCCATTCTGCAAACAGGGACAATATGAGAATGTATGCATGCTGGGTACTCAGAACCCCAGCTCTCTTATCCACTGGACCTCCAGAGGTTGACAGCCAGGGTTTCACCCTCTAGGCAGAAAGCAGAGGGCTCTTTCTCTGGGAACTCTAACCAGCCCAAAAGGAAAGACTTAAAGATACTGATTGTGGAGCTTTCCCAACTGAGCAGTCTTGTCAAATCACTCTGTAGTAAAGTAAAAGGTGACAGGCTTCACCCACAAGCTCAGAGCTTCTAAACATCTTTTTTCTTTTTCTTTTTTTTTTTTGAGACAGAGTCTCGCTCTGTCTCCCAGGCTGGAGTGCAGTGATGCAGTCTTGGCTCACTGCAACATCTACCTCCCAGGTTCAAGCGATTCTCCTGCCTCAGCCTCCCGAGCAGCTGGAATTACAGGTGCCTGCCACCATGCCCGGCTAATTTTTGTATTTTTAGTAAAGATGGGGTTTCTCCATGTTGGCCAGGCTGATCTCAAACTCTTGACCTCAGGTGATCCGCCTGCCTCAGCCTCCCAAAGTGCTGGGATTACAGGTGTGAGCCACCGTGCCCTGCCACCAAACACGTTTTTATTCCTGAACTTTCAAAATGAGCCAACTCCCAATGCCACCCAAGATAGAGTAAGCCCACTGTAGCCTTTATCTCCCACTGATTACAACCAGAATCCCTGGACAAGATACAAAAAGCAATACCTGGGTATCAAATTAAATAATAGAGATGAGAGTGGAAAGACAAAAGACTTGGGCTGGGTGTGGTGGCTCACGCCTGTAATCCCAGCACTTTGGGAGGCTGAGGCAGGAGGATCACTTGAGCCCAGGAGTCCAAGACCAGCCTGGGCAACATGGCGAGACTTCATCTCTACAAAAAATAAAAGAAAAAACTAGCTAGGCATGGTGGTGCACACCTGTAGTCCCAGCTACTTGGGAAGCTGAGGTGGGAGGATTGCTTGAGCCTGGGAGGTCGAGATCGCACCACTGCATTCCAGCCTGGGCAACAGAGCAAGAGCCTGTCTCAAAAAAATAAAAGGAAAGAAAGTAAAGTAAAAACTTGAAGAATGGCTAATGACAAGGAGAATAGCAGTTTCCTTCCTTCCTTCCTTCCTTCCTTCCTTCCTTCCTTCCTTCCTTCCTTCCCTCCTTCCTTCCTTCCCTCCTTCCTTCCCTTCTTCCTTCCTACCTTTTTTCTTCTTTCCTCTTTTCTCCTTTATCTCCCCAGCTTTGATACAAGTGTGGGCCAAATCAAAGAACTATGTAGCATGCACAAACAGCAAAAACTCCAAGAAAACCCCACATTTCTGGCCAAAGGACAAAGAAAAGGGAACCCTTTGAGCTGGAGAGAACAGAATAATTCATGCTTAATTGTTTTTTTGTGTCTCCTTACTGTCACTGCTTCACCCCGAGGGCAGTCATGTGAAACTGCATGACAATGCAGGAAGCTAAACCTCTGAGGGAATCCCATCTTTCTGGCCAGACAACTTCAAAAAGGGGCACTTGGGAGATAAAGAATGCAGGGGAAATCTCAGGAGAAAGCAAAAGAAGAAGATCTCCTAATTCTATATGAAATGACTCAAATCCTGGGCCACCTTCCAGCTGTGCTTGTATGAGGCACATCCAAAGAAATATAGCAAGGCTCTGAGAACTGGACTATGATGTAAACCACTGCTCAGTGACTGTTTAGTCTCAGACTAATCTTTGTGTGGTGCTCACAAGGGGCAGACCTAAAAGCATAGTAAACACTGAAAACTGAACTGACAATAGAACCACCTCCCACAGAAGGTGAGACAGAACTTGCAGTCTGAACCTAACCAAGTTGATTGCTGACCAAAACATACAAATAAACCAAAAATCAAACTCCTCCAGAGGATTTTAACAGAATCAGTCTCACAACATAACATTTGAAATGTTTGGGATACAATCTAAATTTGTTCAACATTACAAAAAGCAGAAAAAACTTAAAAAATTCTCGGGAAGAAAACAATCAACAGATGCCAGCTCTGACATGATCCAAATATTGGAACTATCACACAAAGACTTTAAAGTAGCAATTACAACCATCCTCTGTAAGGTAAAGGTGAATACTCTTGAAATGAATGGAAAGATAGAAGTTATTGACAGAGAAATAGAAATGATTTTTAAATTTAAATTGCATAACAAAAAATACAATATCTAAAATTTTTAAATTTACAGCATGGATTCAATAGCAGAACAAAGCTGATGGAGGAGTTGGTGAAATTGAAGAGGAAGAAATATAAATTATCTGACATGAAGAATAGAGAGAAAAAATGTTTTACAAATATTAGACGTAACCCCAGGGACCTATGGAAAAATATCAAAAGGTCTGACATTCATGTCATTAGAACTCCTAAGGGAAAGAAAAAAGTGATTGGTGCAGAAAAAATTTTTGAAGAAATAACAACTGGAAATGTCCCAAATTTGGTAAAAGACACAAATTTTTAAAGAAGCTTGGTGACCTAAATAAAAAACAAACAAAAACCATGCCCAGAACACATTGTAATCAAACTGCTGAAAACAAATATATGAAAAAAAATCTTGAAAGAAACAAGAGAAAAAAACAACATATTACATTTAGGTAGAACAGTGACTCGAATGACAGCAGATTTCTCATCAGAATTCATGGAGGCAAGAAGACAGCAGAACCAACATCTTTAAAATGCTTAAAGGAAAGAGCTGGCCACCAAGAATTCTAAATCTAGCAAAAATATCCTCCAGGTGAAATGAATTGACTACTAAGAATTTCTGAACAGTTGAGGAAAATCTTTAAAATGAAAGACAGAAATCAAAACAAAAGTAGAAGAAAGGAAACAAACTATATAGCAAAAGACTTCCAAAAACTCTCATTAGTATCCTTAGATAAAAGATAATATTGAAATTACAAAACAAGAGCATAATCCTGCAATAAAAAAGAAACAAAAAATGAAAACAGAACCTTTTTTAAAATTTTATTTTTATTTATTTATTTATTTAGACAGAGTCTTGCTCTTTCACCCAGGCTGGAGTGCAGTGGCACAATCTTGGCTCACTGCAACCTCTGCCTCCCAAGTTCAAGTGATTTTTGTGCCTCAGTCTCCTGAGTAGCTGGGATTACAGGCACGCACAACCATGCCTGGCTAATTTTTGTATATTTAGTAGAAACAGGGTTTCACCATGTTGTCCAGGCTGGTCTTGAACTCTTGTCCTCAAGTGATGCACCCACCTTGGTCTCCCAAGGTGTTGGGATTACAGGCGTGAGCCACTGCACCTGACCTGAAAACCTTAATAGAAGTGTGGGAAGACAGAGTTGAGGAAATTTCCCAGAAATCTGAGCAACCGGAAAATAAATGGGAAATAGAATAGGAAAAGAAGAATTAGAGGACTAGACTAGAAGTTCCAATTTGAAAAACAGAAATTCCAGAAAGAGAGAATAGAACAAATAAAACAGAGAAGAAGGAATTGTTTCTAAAAAATAAGATATTCCCAGAATGAAAAGACATGAGTTTACTAATTGAGAGAGCACCCGAGTGCCCAACCTAATGGATGAAAATAGATCATACTGCAGCACATAACTGTGAAATTTCTCAACACCCAGGAAAAGAGAAGAACCTACAAATTCTCCATGAGGAAAAGGGGTCATGAAGGATTAGGAATCATAATGCTTTAGACATTAGCAGTCAACATTACCAGCAACAATAGAAGTTGGAAGGCAACAGAATAATTCCTTCAAAATTGTGAATGAAAAGTTTTCCCAACTGGATTATACTCAGCTAAACTCACAATCAAGTATAAAAGTAGAATAAGTACAAATTTTCAGATATGCAAGTCTGAAACAATTTATTTCCCATGCACTCTTTGTCAGAAATGATTGAAGATTGCATTCTATCACAAAAAGGAAAAGTATTCATAGTTTACTAGAGGCTCAACTGTGAATAGCATGGACATAGTGTAGTAATGTAGATACTGAATATTGATTATAATTCTATTGGGAAGACAGTGGTTGGGGATAGTAGTTATGTGGCAGGGACAGAGGGAGGAAGGAGGCTAAAATCTCATCTTCCACAGTGGGATGTCAACAGAAATAATTAAAACTGAAAAATCAAGAAGTAGCCACTCAAAGCATACTATTGAGAGTCATAGAAGTAAATATTTCAATAATCTGCTAAACTATATTAAATTGATATATTAAACTGCCTCTCAGGCCAGGCACAATGTCTCACACCTATAAGCCCAGCACTTTGGGAGGCCAAGGTGGGCGGATCGCTTTGAGCTCAGGAATTCAAGACCAGCCTCGGCAATATGGCAAAATCCTGTCTCTACAAAAAAATACAAAAAATTAGACAGGTATGGTGGTACACGCCTATAGTCCCAGCTACTTGGGAGGCTGAGGTTGGAGGATCACTTGAGCTTGGGAGGCAGAGATTGCAGTGAGCCAAGATCATGCTACTGCACTCAAGCGTGGGTGACAGAGCAAGACTCCAGGGAAGGAAAAATGGGGATGAATTGTTTTTAAATAACAAACCTGTAAAGATAGTTGACTTTTTAAACCATGGGTCTGCATAACTTTGACAACTACAAACCTTTTTCTAAAAATTAAGCTAGCAGTACCTTGAGATGGCCACTAAATTCGGGAGAGCTATCCTCAGCATTCAATTGTTTTCATTGTTTCATTTCACTCCTCTGCAAGAAGTAACTTATGATAATCAAACTCACAAAGAGAGTGCTGTTAAAACCAGAATGGCAATTTATTAATTTATGATGTGAAACAAAACTGCCATTTTGACCAAATATTTGCTTACTGTGCCAAGAATGATATTTGGTAAATAATATATATTCAATAAATACTTGTCTAAGACTTGTTTTACTGATTAGTACATTATTTTTTTAAAAAAAATTTTTAAAGCGAAAGGATCTCACTATGTTGTCCAGGCTAGTCTCAAACTCCTGGGCTCAAGCAATCCTCTTGTCTCAGCTTCCCAAAGCACTGGGATGACAAGCATGAGCCATTGCACCTGGCCTTATTAGCACATTATTTTATGCAAATATATGATGAGAAAAAAAGTATTATTAGAAAGTTGTCTTTTGAGCACAGAGCCAGGTCAAGGAGGCAGTTAGATCATCTTCATGGTGGCCATGACACACCCATTTCTGTTGGAGGAATGGGCTGGTCTTCAGACTGTTCTCTCCTCTGCTCGTGGGTTAGGACACCTCATGGGCAGGGCTTGGATGGTGCTGCCTTGTCACCTCATTGACCCTCCCTTCATCTGCCCCATTGCTGACCTGTGCCCTACAGAGCTCTCTTGCCACCTTCCACAGGGCAACAGCTGTATCTGGGAACCATTCTATTTCAGGGGTGGGTAATTTTGTCAGATGCAATAATGGCAGAGTGGTTGTATATTTCTAAGTGTTCTTGTCGATAGGGATGTAAACTGAAGTATTTATGAGTGACATGACATTATATCTGGATTTGCTTAAAATATTCCAGGGTGGAAAAAAGCAGGGGATAGAAAAGAGATAGATGAAACAAAATTGATTAAATTGTTCATGATTATTGAAGTTGGCTGCATAGGAGATCTATTTTGCTATTTTCTTTACTTTTGTGTATATTAGAAAGTTTCCATAATAAGAAGATAACAAACATAAAATAAAATGAAATGATGGACTCTTTAAAATCTTTTTAATGAGAGCTAAGCTATGAGGACACAAAGGCATAAGAATGATATGATGGACTTTGGGGACTTGGGGGAAAGGGTGAGAGGGTGGTGAGAGATAAAAGACTACACATTGGGTACTGTGTACACTGCTTGGGTGATGGGTGCACCAAAATCTCAGAAATCACCCTCTAAAGAACATATTCATGTAACCAAACACCACCTGTTCCCCAAAAACCTATTGAAATTAAAAAACAAAAATCCAATTTGCAATGGCTTTACAGTCTGGCTTTTTCATCGTGTCATGGCCCCACAAAGAGTTAGCATTTGTGCTAGACCTTGAAGGAAGTAGAATTGGTATGTATGAGAAGGAGAAAAAAATAATAAAAATGTTTTTAAAATTATCGTTGAGTAGAATTCCTCCTTCTTTAACATTATTGCTGTTTCTATTGTTGTATTTCACAGAAATACATATTCTGCCTCGAAAAGAAAACTGAACTGCCATTGATGGTTAAAATGGCAGAGAAAAATGTTGGTTTAAAAAATTACATTAGTTAGGCCAGGCAGAGTGGCTCACACCTGTAATCCCAGCGCTTTGGGAGGCCGAAGCAAGAGGCTTGAGCCTGGAAAGTTGAGGCTGAAGTGAGCCATGATCACATGACTGCACTCTAGCCTGGGTAGCAGAGCAAGACCCTGTCTCAGAAAAAAAAAAAAAAAAAGCTTTATATTACATATAAAAATATAATTTATAATGTAATTAGATTATATATAATATAAAAAGTTTTTGACATCTCAAAAACCCTAAAATGCTAAAGAAGGAAAAATGGATTCTCTGAATAACATTATAATTAAAAATATAGGAGAGTAGGATTCCTAATAAGATCTATCTGACCACTTCCCACAAAACTTTACTTATCCATGAATAAAATATATCTAGTTAATTAATGAATGTTGGCAAACTCTCCCTTTTGTTTTTCCAGAGGCCGTTTCTCTATAGTAAAGAAATGCATTCACAAAGCTACCCGCAAAGATGTGGCTGTGAAATTTGTTAGCAAAAAAATGAAGAAGAAAGAACAGGCTGCCCACGAGGCTGCCCTGCTTCAGCACCTACAGCACCCCCAGTACATCACTCTCCATGACACCTATGAGTCCCCCACATCCTACATCCTGATCTTGGAACTGTAAGTACAGACGCCATCTCTCTAAAGTCGCCTGCATCCATTTAGGTTAGCTTTTGCCCACAATTAATGGAAAAGACAGTTACATTTTATACAAGGTCCTATCATTTGCAAAGTGCTGCATATAACATGCACTCTCTCCCCCATTTTATAATCAATGTCATTTCCATTTCAAAGATTAAAAAATCATAATAGGAATAAGGGAAGTCCTTAAAACTAGCTCCTTAAGACTAGGAATGGAGAAGCTGGGACTTGAACCCATATCTCTCTCACTTCCATGCTTATTTTCTTTCTATTATGGACTCTTGGGCTGGGCAGGAGTTTGGGAAGAGCTTGTCGACAGTAGGCTGATTGACAGGGTGGAGTTGAAAGACAGGGCTCTGTGTGTCAATTCACCACCATAGCAACTCCATTCTACCACCCAAAAAAATTCCTTCCAGGGGAGAGCCTTACCTTCAAAACATTCCACTCATTCCAGATTTTCTAGGGACTTAGGCAACCATATACGTGACCCCTAGAATAGATGTAATAAAGCAATAATGTCCCTTTCTCCCCACCACTACCCCAGGCTAAGAAGAGACAGTATGTTCTGTGGTTTAGATAAATATCACAGAGATTAAAGAGAACAGAGTCTTTTCAGAAGTGATACAAGTAACAGAAATGTGATCAGATTGGTGCTACTGAGGCCCTTGGCCTAGACAGGAGACAGACATTTCCGCCAAAGACCATTGCCGAGTATGGCTCCACAAGAACCCCTTTTCAGTAGAGAAGTGCCTGCATTTTCAGCTTTTCAACTACCATGTTAGTCCGGCTCTTGCGTGCTTGTTAGTCTAGGTGTGTGTGTACGGGATGTTTGAGTCAGTAACTTGTCACAAATTTATTTATGATAAAATAAGAAAGCAAAAATGCAAACAAGTTTGGCTATTTTTAAAATCAGCTGGAAAAAAAAAAAAACAGAGGGGACAAACCCCATGCTGCTAGCATCTGTAATCCTTTTGTGAAACTTAAACTTTATGTAGTTAAGTAGTTGGTAGTTTGTCACTTTAGACTTAACAGACTTAACAGTCTCTTTCAGAGCCTGATCTGTTTGTAGGGAACCTCCTAACTCAAAAGACATTATTCTATTGCTAGTGAACTATACTTGTCCACAGATGACAACATCTGTGCTTGTGTTCCAGTGAAAGGTATTGTCACTGTGTACCAGGTTGAGTTCAGCTGACCCAGAACTTCTGCCCCTTCAGACTTGCCAACTGCTGTTTCAAGGGAAGGTGCTGATATTGGGCTACTGTAGTGCAATGGAAAGAAGCTGCTCTTGGAATGAGGAATCTGGGCTCACGTCCCAGCTCTGTGATTTGAAGCAGAATACTTAGTTTGCTGGGGCCCCGAGTCCTCATCTGTGAAGATTGAAATTCCTCCAACTTCCCAGAGATGTTGCAGGGATTAAGTTAGATGAACAGTGGGTTGAACTAGTTTAGCAAACGTTTACTGAGCCCTCGCTATGCACCAACTACCATCCAGACCAGGGCCAGGGTCGGGGGAACAAAGTTATAGTTATAAGGGTAGTTTATAGGAGGCAGAGGTATAGTTTATAGGGGGAAAAGGGCTGGGCACGATGGCTCACGCCTGTAATTCTAGCACTTTGAGAGGCCGAGGTGGGCGGATCACTTGAGGTCAGGAGTTCGAGGCCAGCCTCGCCAACATGGTGAAACCCCATCTCTACTAAAAGTACAAAAATTAGCTGGACATGGTGGCAGGCACCTGTAATCCCAGCTACTCGGGAGGCTGAGGCAGGAGAATTGCTTGAACCCAGGATGTGGAGGTTGCAGTGAGCCAAGATCACACTACTACACTCCAGCCTAGGCGACAGAGTGAGACTCCATCTCAAAAAAAAAAAAAAAAAATAGGGGGAAAAGATATAGTTTTTGCCCTCGAGGAGTTACAAGTCTAATGAGGAAGACCAATAGATAGATAAATGGATGATTTTAATATAACATGATAAATACTAAGAAAGAAAAGCATGCATTGGAGAAGATTGCTGTGAGAACATAGGTGCTTGGTTGGACCTGAAGTTCAGGGAAAGTTTGTGGAGAGGCAGTGCCTGAGCTAACCCCTGTGCTGGATCTCATTATCCTGTTATGCTTATTTGGCAAATACTTATGCTGCCAATTAGGTGACGGTGGCCTCCCCTTAGGTGGTCACCAGAATTGCTGGGAGAGCCTTTCTTTACCAGGCAACTGAGATTTGGATTCCCTAGTCTAGGGTAGGATGTGGGCATCTGCCTTATCCAAAAGCTCTAAAGGTGAACTTGGTGGCTAAGACTCTCTCACTTGGAGCAGTGCTGCTGTTAATTGCTCCCTTAATGACTCCAAGAAGTTCAGGGGAATACATTTAACAAGCCCAATCCTACTCCACTCTACTCTGATCACTCTTACCTCACCCTTAGCAGGGTCAGAGGAAAGCAAAAGAGGCTTGCATGGGTTCTAGCCTTTGCTCCTGTCAGGGAAAGTAGAAGACACCAGTGGGAAGGAGCAAGCTAGAGGGGAAGAGGTAAACTTGACCAGGGGGATTTCAGCTGTAACTGAAAGTCATTTCTGACCCTGCATCAGGCTCCTCTGCATGGGCATTTCCTGGGCATGTGCCTTTAACAACTCAATGTACACTAAAGAATACCTGACATTTGGTAACTCCTTGCTGTAAGAGGACAGAGGGTGGCTGAGAATAGTTACCATTTATTTAGCACTTACCTATGCTACCAATTATGCTTAAATGCTTCATCATCTCACTCCATCCTTGCACAATCCTCATAATCAAATAGGTGAACAGTAATATTCACCCACTATATGATAATATTAATTCATTATATTATATTAATATAATGAATAATAATTGTTATTATTTTGTTGCTGTTCTTATTCCCACTTTAAAGATGGTTCACTTTGGTGAAACCAAAACACAGAGTTCAAATGACTTGCTCCCAGCCTTCAGCAGGTAGGTAACAGAACCAGGATTCGAATCTGGGTCTGGATGGCTCCATATACCATGTTCTCAATCACAGTTCTCAAGGTTGGAAAAGTTGCCCAGAAGGCAAAGGATTCAAAAAGGGATCAAGAGCCGGGCACGCTGGCTCATGTTTGTAATCCCACCGTTTTGGGAGGCCCAGGCGGGTGGATCACTTGAGACCAGGAGTTTGAGACCAGCCTGGCCAACATGGCAAAACTCTGTCTCTACTAACAATACAAAAATTAGCTGAGTGTGATGGCACACGCCTGTAATTCCAGCTACTTGGGAAGCTGAGACACCAGAATCGCTTGAACCTGGGAGGCGGAGGTTGCAGTGAGCTGAGATCATGCCACTACACTCCAGCCTGGGTGAAAGAGAGACTTTGTCTCAAAAACAAAACAAACAAACAACAACAACAAAAAAAAGGTGGTGGGGTAGGGGAGGGACAGAGAATCAATAATGCAAAGAACAAACTTTGCCTACTTTCTGTTTTCCCCAACTTAAAACTGACAAATGAAAGTAGTTTGGCTAGGCACAGTGGCCTCCTCCAGAAATCCCAGCTATGTGAGGGGCTAAAGCAAGAGGATCACTTGAGTCCAGGAGTTCGAGGCTGCAGTGAGCTATGATTGTGCCACAGCATTCCAGCCTGGGCGACACAGTGAGACTTCATCTCTAAAATTAATCTTAAAATAAAATTAAGAAGTACTTTGCAAAACACATGTGGGGCTGTTTGCAGCCACTAGGTTATGGTTAATCAGGATATTGCTGAAGTCTCTCTTGGTGAAGGCTTTCTTTACTTAGCAATCAAACCTCTTAAATGGGTGTCACAACTTTTTTCTTGTGAGCAATTTTTAGAGTTAATGAAGGAGAATGTTTCTTAAACAAGGTTATACACACTCCCTGCAGTATACCATATTTGTAAATATATTTATTTTAGTTCTGAATATTACAATAACTTTAGGCTCTAACTAAATATGCATGTGTTGCACATTTGGTCTTCATGTATAACAATAAGTATGAGAGAGTTTAGAGATCTTACTGATTTGTACATGTGTTATTTTTCTATTTCTTCATTTCAAACATATTTCCTTTGCCTTTCCCTGCCTACTTTCAGGATGGATGATGGCCGGCTCTTAGACTACCTTATGAATCATGATGAACTGATGGAGGAAAAAGTAGCTTTCTATATCCGAGACATCATGGAGGCTCTGCAGTACCTTCACAACTGCAGGGTTGCACATTTGGACATAAAGGTAATAAGAAGTGGCAACCTGCTGGGCGCAGTGGCTCACGCCTGAAATCCCAGCACTTTGGGAGGCCAAGGTGGGCGGATCACAAGGTCAGGAGATCGAGACCATCCTGGCTGACACGGTGAAACCCCGTCTCTACTAAAAATACAAAAAATACAAAAAAATTAGCCAGGAGTGGTGGTGGGCACCTGTAGTCCCAGCAACTTGGAAGGCTGAGGCAGGAGAATGGCATGAACCTGGGAGGCGGAGCTTGCAGTGAGCCGAGATCGCGCCACTGCACTGTAGCCTGGGCGACAGAGCGAGACTCCCTTCAAAAAAAAGAAGTGGCAACCTTGCAGGGAATACCTTAAATGGCCAAGTCCAACTTACCAGTCATTACTCATAAGGAATATAAATTCAAATTCATTTTATTTACTTAGAGTAGAATATTATAACTTTTTTTTATTTGAGACAGAGTCTGACTCTGTTGCCGAGGCTGAAGTGCAGTGGTGCGATCTCGGCTCGCTGCAACCTCCGCCTCCCAGGTACCAGCGATTCTCCTGCCTTAGCCTCCCAAGTAGCTGGGATTACAGGCGCTCACCACCATGCCCAGCTAATTTTTGTATTTTTAGTAGAGACAGGGTTTCATCATGTTGGCCAGGCTGGTCTTGAACTCCTGACCTCAAGTGATCTGCCCGCCTTGGCCTCCCAAAGTGCTGGGATTACAGGCGTGAGCCAACACATCCATCCCATTATGACTATTTTTTTTTTTTTTTTTGAGATGGAGTCTCGCTCTGTCACCCAGGCTGGAGTACAGTGGCATGATCTCAGCTCACTGCAACCTCTACCTCCCAGGTTCAAGCAATTCTCTGCCTCAGCCTCTTGAGTAGCTGGGATTACAGGCGCCCACCACCATGCCTGGCTAATTTTTTTGTATTTTTAGTAGAGATGGGGTTTCAACATCTTGGCTAGGATGGTCTCGAACTCCTGACCTTGCGATCCACCCGCCTTGGCCACCCAAAGTGCTGGGATTATAGGTGTGAGCCACCGTGCCCGGCCTCCCCATTATGACTATTAAAGAGAATCTGGGCTGTCACACAATTTAAGTGTATCATCCATGAATTAATGAGAATATGCCAGAGCCACAATGACATCTGGTGTGAGAGAAGGTAGGGAAGTTCTACCTACCTAATCTAACTTCATAGAAGTAAGCCAACAAACGTCACCTTCTCTTCCATGCTTCTCAAAAAGAAGCCCCTGTTCACCAAAATGAGTAATTTATTATTTCCTTGATTCAATGCAGAAGCAGTGTAGTTAAGAAAACATGATTTTCAATGTCAAACAACTTCTCTGAATTACCACCCAAACTCAAAGTGTAGTAAGCTCAAAATGATAGTTTGAAGTATCCTATGCAGTTTCCGTAGTGCATAGGGAATTTTCTGTACACCATAGGCTTTATCAAAGAATAGCATAACTGTGTTTGAATTAATGAGGTATTTTGAGTAGTCAAAATAGAGGCCTAAACTTCCCTTCTTTTCTCCCTGCTTCCTTGGATCTCTGCAGCCTGAAAACCTGCTCATTGACCTACGGATTCCAGTGCCTCGAGTGAAGCTCATTGACTTGGAGGATGCTGTCCAGATCTCGGGTCACTTCCACATTCACCACCTGCTGGGGAACCCTGAGTTTGCTGCCCCAGAAGTCATTCAAGGCATCCCCGTCTCCCTGGGGACAGACATCTGGAGCATCGGGGTTCTGACATATGTCATGCTGAGTGGGGTCTCCCCCTTCTTGGATGAGAGCAAAGAGGAGACATGTATCAACGTATGCAGGGTGGATTTCAGCTTCCCCCATGAATACTTCTGTGGTGTGAGCAATGCTGCCAGAGATTTCATCAATGTGATCTTACAGGAAGATTTTCGGAGGCGGCCCACAGCAGCCACATGCTTGCAGCATCCATGGCTGCAGCCCCATAATGGCAGCTACTCTAAGATCCCCCTGGACACCTCCCGCCTAGCATGCTTCATAGAACGTCGCAAGCACCAGAATGATGTGCGGCCTATTCCCAATGTCAAGAGCTACATTGTCAACCGGGTGAACCAAGGGACGTAGCCATCTCCCAGCCCCTATGGTTTCACATAGACGTGCAGTGTGAACCAAAGCAAGACTGAATGTGACTGTAAATAATTCTGTTCATCATTTCACTCCGTGCAGTTCTCTGAATTGAGAGATGTACCTCTTAAACCTCGTCAGTGGTTATTCAGGGTCTGAGCAGCAGTAAAAGTCACCCTAAATCAAGGGGCTTTTCAGAAGGTCATTCTGAAGAAATAAAGAGGCAAAGGGTCACAGAAGTGTTCAGAAGAAGGGCAAAGATAAGAACAATATTAGCTGTTACGAAATTTTAACTGTATCTTCCAAAATGAGTGGTTAACTGGGCAAACCTTAAGCTCACAAGAGTATAAAAGATCTCTGGCTTTGCTGAAATTTTAAGCAAGAAGTTCTATTTAATGGAGATGTCATGTATATCAACTATTCTGGTTTAGATAACTTAGATATAGTTTCTTAATAGGATAGATACCCACATACAGTATAATATATCCCATTCAGGTTTCAGAGTTTTCTAATATAGAGATATATATATTAAATCAATCACAAGTAATTTTGAGTGCTCCAGTTAAGACAGTAATTTATTTACCGAATCATTACATTGTTTTGACTAAGCACAATTAGATGACAAGTTTTTTTAGAGCATTTTATAGATCTTGTATAGAAATCTTTTACCAGAACCTGTGCATTAAGAGAAAGCAATGTTGCCCTTTTGAATGAGAAAATTTTTTCTGTCAATCGCAGGTTATTTGATTAAGATAGGTTCTTTCTGTATATGAAACGCTCCCCGCAAATTCACTGGCAGCTCAGAATTATTCTGGAAAGAAAGCCTGCCAGGAAATAAATTCAAATACAGTATGAGCTGCGGGGATATTTTTGTGTCTACACCAGGTTTGAAATAAGTAAACAAATACAAGAGGTTCATATAAAAGGGCAAATGAAAACCTTTCCTACAGTTCCTATGAACAACGTACCAACACTTTCTGATTTCTTCTACAGCTGTAGAATACCATCTTTCAGAAAGTTGGCTGGCTTTATTTCTAACTCCTTATTGAAGCTAAGGGGTGCTTACTAAAAGGAGGCAGCCATATAGGCCTTTTAAAGGCCTGGTTCTAAGTCCTTTTTAAAGCCATGGAACAAAACCTGATACATCACCCTAACAGAGCATTAAGTTGTAACTGAGATTGCAATACCTGTCACCATGCAGCCGCTGATAGTTCTCTGAACTAAAAGGACTAATTGTACTTTGAGGCCAATGCTGCTTTCTGGTGTATATTCTCCATACAAGATTATTATTAACTGCTCTTTTTCCCTCTGGTGGAAAAAAAATTAAACCTGGGCATTTCATGGGTTTTCTTTCTTTATTTTTGTTCATTTGTTTTGGAGGGAGGGAGCTTGTTTTTTGTGTTTGTACATGATCCACCCTTAGTTTTCTAGAATGTGTGTTGAAAATTGCGATTATACAAGTAAGATTTTAAAAATGTAACTCAAGTGTTTGTTCAAATCAGGTTTAATGGTGTTGCTTCTCTCCTATAATGGGATAGAGAAAATTAAAATCACGTAGTACAGAAGTGCAAGAAGAGAATTTATGAAGGATGAATAGAACTACAAACCTATCTAAATGAAAAAGAAATGGTGGAAACTAAGCCTGAACTTTAACATATAAAAAACACTTATTCCCACAGAGAAAATGTAAAATTAAAAATCATCATCTTTTTTTTTCCATTGGTTTCAAAGACAACTTCCTCATTCGCCCTCCACCTCATCCCATCCAAGATTATAGATTGATAAATTAATGGAAAGTATAAGCAATAAGACTAGATAGCACTTAGTATTTTTGGGATTAACCAAATATATGGAAACCGACTCCGACTGTATTTGTTTCTTAATTTTCAAATGGCCCTGGGTCATAAAGCCTCACTCCCTCAGAGGTCTCTCGACTAACCCCTATAGTCTTCATTTGGACCTTTATGTATTTACAAACACTCTATGATACAATACATAAAAATTTAAAACATACATTAAACATGGTTACTAAAATTTTTCAAAATGTAAAACATATTTAGTAAAAAAATTTTAGTAAACATGTTTTCATTGTGTTTAAAAAATTTAAAACATATTTACTAAAAATCCTTTTAGTAAACAGTTTACTAAAACCCTTTCAATAAACATGTCTTCATTATGGTATACAGCATAAAAGAGGAAAGCCTGAGCCGGGCGCGGCGGCTCACGCCTGTGATCCCAGCACTTTGGGAGGCCGAGGCGGGTGGATCACAAGGTCAGCAGTTCGAGACCAGCCTGACTAACATGGTGAAACCCTGTCTCCACTAAAAATACAAAAAAATCATCTGGGCGTAGTGGCGGGCACTCGTAATCCCAGCGACTTGGGAGGCTGAGGCAGGAGAATCGCTTGAAACCGGAAGGCGGAGGTTGCCGTGAGCCGAGATTGCACCACTGCACTCTAGCCTGGGCAATAAGAGCAAAATTCTGTCTCGAAAAAAAAGGAAAGCCTGGCCCATAGGGTTTGTCATGGGACAAACTGTAGGCTCTGAGGATTCCCAATATCCATAAAGTCCAGCTTGGCAAGTTCTGTTCTGTCCACTGTGGATGACCTGAATCAAGATCCCCCTGCTGAGCCATTCTGAGTTTTTATAACAAGTTGAGTTTCTGCTTGAGAAGGCCAGGGCCCAGAACAATGGTGTGCAGACCACGGCAGGTGGGGGACAAGGAGGGTATTTTTGAAATTATGTTATGGGGGCAGTTGACAGAATGTTAGACAGACCCCAAGCTTTCATATCAGCTTTTACAACAGAGTTGGGAGGATCCAGATGTGGGGTTGCATGGAATTCCCCCAAGTACACATATTTGGGAAGTGAGAAGACAGGAAAGGAGGGACCTAGAAATGAAAAGTAGGATGATTTTGTTAACTGGAGCCAAGGTACAATCATTAGACTAGAATGAACTTAATAGAGGCCCCAAGAGAAAGGGGGTATATTTTATATAGTTTGATAACGGAGGGAAACTAACAGGGAGGCTCCCTGTCTGCAAAGCTCCTGGTCCCTCCCAACAGAGATAAGAGAGTAGTCTTGGTTCAAGAGTTCTCCACAGCAAGTTGGAAATAACAAGGAATCCCAGATGATGATGATCCTGGGGAATGTACTTTAGGTTGCTCTGAGGGCAACCGTGCTTAGGGAAAAAGGATCAGGGGCCACTCTTGTTCCTGTTTTGGCGGAGAGATTTATTACTTGGTAGTAAAGAAGAGAGGAGAGAAGAGAAAATGGTCCATTTCTATCATTATGATGGTAGTTCACAGTGGGAGTGAACTTTCAGCTGAAATGGGAAAAACAAACAATGGTCAAGGTCACAAGTTTCTTGCTTGGCTTTTATTCATTGCATAGGGTTTTGAGCTTTTTGTTTTGTTTTGTTTTGTAAGGGTGGGATACAGAAAGAATGAAAAGATCAGGGACAACCCATAATAACTTTTAAGAAGTATTAATATAATGATTTCCTACATCTTTTACATTTGTTTCAAATTAAATAGATATATATCCACTTACAGCTGAATGTGGTAAAATTTTTAAGAAAAAAATGGTAATGTTGGAGATATCCTTCAGGTCTCTCTCAGCCATAAACAATGTAAGGGGGAGTAGAGGAAGCAGAGGAGAAAGCTAGCTTCACTGCTTTGTGGTCCACAAAGCCTTTATAAATAGTAGTGCCTTTCAGAGGGGAGGATGGGAGATAAAGAAGTTCATTGCATTTAGATGTACTGATATTGCAGCATTTTTTCTTTACTTTAAAATATCTTGTAAATGAAAACATCTGAATATAGGGGTGGGACCAGGAATGTTTGAGTTTCAATCTCAGCTATTCCTGATTCATCTTTTCTTACAGAAAGTCTTTGTTTTTCCTTCCCCAAATGTCCCCATTGGTAAAATGGGAGTTGGGGGATGGGGAAGGAGGGAGGACATTAATCTTACAGGAATGTTGAGAAATAACCTTGGTGGGGACATCTATAAAATACTTTGATTTTTTTAAGTGCTACACACTGCCAGTGCTAAGAATTTTATTGATAGTAACTTTGAACATTCCAGGTTTTCAATATTCACGTCTTTAGATACCAATTATAAACTCATGAGATTAAATTCTGTAAATTGTTTTCAGTTGGAAGTATCAGGTGCTCTTTGTCTAAATGTTATTTGGTCTTAGCCTATAATTTCGATCATTTAAGAGCTTGTCTACCGAAAAGGGTTAGGAGAGCTGATGAAGTCTTATGTCCATAAGTTGTTTTCTCCAGTATTTCTTATGGCAGATGCGAAGAGTAAAATGCCCTTGAAAGCAACTGCTACCTTCCTTCTCAAGCTTTATGCTCTGGAAAAAAGGACAGAGAAGAACCCAACAACCACTTTCTTCACTTGGGAGGGCAGAAGTGAGAAGAAAATATCTTCTCATACCACAATTTATTTTTCACAGCCTCACAGGAATCTAAGAGACAAATTAAATGCACAGGCAAATTAAATGCATAGAAATGAATTGGACTGCTCATTTTTGGAGGACAAACCTTGAATCTTTTTTTTTTTTTTTAGGTGGTTAGGTCTTTTAGGAGTTGCATATTTGCTATCCCATAACCTCCATGATTAGAGCCCACGAGTTAGGCATTACTTTTTTCTTGCCTCTGTGGAAGAGCATGGCAATTTAGATTTGTGAGAATATGAGGGAGCAAATATGATATAAACTAAATTTTGCATTAACTAAAACTTTGTCCCATGCATTTAATACAGGAGGAAATTATTTTGTACGTAAGAGGTCTTTGTAGTAGGGCAAAGTTCAAACTCACCATGTCCTTATTCAGTATGGTCAATGAATTGTGCTGGATGAGTTTCGAGGAATGTAGACCTTCTTCCTTTCTCTCCTGGGTCGCACCTCTGTGGAGTCTGGGTTAGACAAATGCAATATGTGACCTTTCAGTGAATTTATTTATAAAACTGCACCTTGATTTTTCCTCACTATTTAAAGCCTAGGGATGATTTGATGATGAATGATTAAACCCATGGTGGGCTTAGAGACGACAGAGCTCACACACGCTCCATCAAGAAAAGGAAAGCTACTATGTTAATATTTATTTTCTAAAAATATTAAGGCTCTCAGTTGTTTCATTAATTCTAAAGGGTTAAAAAGGGCTGAAATTTGTTTATAGCACTAAATGTTTTTAATAGGAAATTTACTCACATAAAAAATTTAAGCAGAAGTAGTAGAATACAGATTATCATAAAACATATTTTCTATGAAAGGCATTTCTTCCTCATCTTCAATAAATATGAAGAAGTTAGAGGAGAGGAAAAAGCAATCACTCTAAGACAACTTTTCGTCTTTGAGGGACATTATGATAAGCCTGAAATTAATACGCACAGGCTATTGCATTTTTCTGTGAGAAATGTGCCCCTTTGCTGTGAGATTCTAAAATGTGTTCAGATTTAGTTTTTATTCAAATGATCAAGATAACGCATTAGTTAGATAACTGCTATTTCAGATAGTGAGGTTAGCTGAGAAAAGGAAGCATGGTAGAAGAAATGCAAATAACAATTCTTGGAATGCCAACTCCTGAGGCTTAGTTTAACCAAGCTAATTTGTTGGCCCAGGGATGGCCATCATATGAGTTTCCATCAATACCTGACTTCCATCAACAACTGAATCCATGTTCTGGAGTATTACAGAGACTGTTACTATGACCTCAAAGACTGTGGCTACGAATCTGAAGTTAACAAGACATACATCTTCTCTTACTAACTTAAGCCATATCTGTCAACTCTATGTTTGATTTTTCTGACCCTGGTGCTTTTACTTCTGTTTCTGCCAAACTTCAGCCTACTCTATGGGGAAGGTGAGTAAAACTAGTAGTTAGAACAAATATGAAGACTGAAAAAAACTAAACATACTCTTCATAATGAGATCCTGTTCAGAGAACAGTAGTGATCAAAGTGCAAACTGTTGGAAAATATGGATATATGTACATCTGTACATGTATATAGTGTATAATATGTATGTATATGTTATTGCTCATATGCAGAAATCTATCCATTTGCAGACAGCCCAGGTGGGTCAATGTTTCTAATGGAAAACCATTTAGGGCCATTCAAAACCATTAGGGCTAATTTGTGGAGACGAATTCTACTCATTCTGGAATTAATTTGCTGTCTTTTGACATCCACAAAGCCAAACTAACAAAGTGTGAAACATAAAGGGGCCATCATTTAGTTTATTCTGTTTATCTGGACTTATAACTATCTTTACATTTGAACTATTAATAGTTGATTTGCAAACTGTATTGGCATCTCTTGGTTTTGAGTGACCCCTGCCCCCCTCAAGTCTTTTGAGAATTTGGAGTGGGCTTCACTGGCCATTCAGACAAAGGGCCTTATTCATAAGTGGACAGGTTTCCCCATAGGGACCATCGCACATATACATATAAGTACATACTTCCATCAGGCTTGTAACAATTGATTTAAAATCACTCCACAGTATTGATAAATAGCTCTATATTTTCAAGGTGCAGAAGAATTCCACAGCCTTAATTATTTCAGTGTCTTGCTGGTCTGCCTTAAGTGTATCTTCTGGGTTTTTGGTTATTTTATTATTTTTAAATTTTTCTGCTGTTGTTCATTTTGTATGCACACAATGTCGTTTTGTAAAGGTAGGTTGTAAATATTTTATTTGTAAGTCAAAATCACTCATGTGTAATGTTGTAAAGTGATGACCTGCTGTCTTGTTACTGCTACAGTAAATGTTATAAGTTATGGATGAAACTTCAAAATGTACATCTCACATGTTATGCATTCCTATAAATATACTATACTAAAGATACTATATGGTTGTCTCTTTTTTCCTAATTAAACCTTTGTTCAAAGAAAAGAGTAATTTTTTTCTTTCTCCAAATATATGAAAGACTTAGAAAAGGTAAAAATATCACAGGATTATTACAACATGTTTGGCCCAGGATTTTAGAGAGAAAGCAACAATTTTGTGCCCTAGAGTATTCTAAGGCATTTACCCAAAAATGCCAAGGAAACCTCAGAGCCAGGTGTGGTGGCTAGCACCTGTAAATCCTAACACTTTGAAAGGCCAAAGTGGAAGGATCTCTTGAGCCCAGGAGTTTGACACCAGCCTGGACAAAATAAGGAGACACCCACGTCCCCCCAACCCCCCACATATTAAAAATTGTTTTAAAAATATTAACTGAGTGTGTTGGTGCATGCCTGTGATCCCATCTACTTGGGAGGCTGAGGTGGAAGCATCATCTGAACCCGGGAGGTAGAAGCTACAGTGAGCTGTGATTATGCTACCTCACTCTAGCCTGGGCAACAAAGTGAGACCAGACCCTATCTCAAAAAAAAAAAAAAAAAAAAAAAAAAAAAAAAAAAAAAGCCTCGGGTTGTTGTTAATTTCATACTGGTATTTCAGGTGATAATGTTGTTAGACTGTCTGGAGGGTATTTTGGGCTGGATCTCACAAGTTTATACATTCTGGTGTGGACTCCAGCAATTTGGGTTAGCCTATACAGATATGATCAGGCTTTGAAAGTTTAAATGTGCCACCCACGTGCAAATGAGGCTGATTCATGGTATACTGTCAATTAGCCAGAGTGTTAAAGTGTTTTGATTAGCTTATTTTGCCAAGAAAACAAAAACATGTTTTAACATTTGGCTTCTATTTCATTAAGATTTTATTGCATTTATTTGTAATGAGAAACACTTGTCAAAAGCATGGGCTCTTCACATTGGCTCATCAGCACAATCTCCTGAGAAAATATAGATAATAAAGAATATTAGAAATGAAATCAGAATCAGGTTTATGAGTTAAAATCATAAGCCCCTTATGGGCTTTTTTTTTATCTAGAATTTGTATGTATTTTAGCACCTATATAGCTTATGAAGCCCATTTGTAATTAATATTTCATTTAATCCCAACAAATTCTTATGAAGTAAGTTATTTTACTTGGATTAGAGAAAACTGAGTCACAGAATCTAGGTGATTGTTCAAGGTCACTGAGACATTCACTGGAAGATAACTTTTTTTTTTTTTTTGGCACAGGGTCTCACTCTGTCACTCAGGCTGGACTGCAGTGGCATGATCACAGTTCACTGTGGCCTCAACCTCCCAGGCTCAAGTGATATTCCTGCCTCAGCCTCCCCAGTAGCTGGGACCACAAGTGTGTGCCATGATGTCTGGCTAATTTTTTTTATTTTTTGAAGAGACAGAGTCTCATCATGTTACCCAGGCTGGTCTCAAACTCCTGGGCTTCCCATCTCTGCCTCCCAAAGTGCTGGGATTGCAGGCATGAGCCACTGACCTGGCCCTAGAACATAACTTAAAATAAATGTGTATGTGTGTGTTTCAGTGTCTCTGTGTGTGTATAGTGTAGGTCAAACAATAATAAATAATTAAATAACAGTACCTCAGCCTATATTTTTTTGAAGGGGAGTGGTTCAGAGGAATCACCAATATAGTTATGGAATATTAGCAAAAGCCCTAATACAAATGATAATCAGAACCCCACAAGCTCAGTCTAAAATAGATATCAGAGTAGAATACAGAAGGGATTCAGTAAGCAATATAGAGCTAGGTCCATGAAAAGGCTCAGATTGAACTACTGCATGAAATTTTACATTCATGGAAACTCTTTAGGGTAAATACCTAAAATAGTAAGACTAAATATTGGTTAAAGCCAAGATCCTTTACCCAGCCTAAGTAAATGAAATGGAGAACACAAAATGAATTGGTACAATCTATGTTCCTCTGCTTTTTTTTTTGTTGTTGTTGTTGTTTGTTTGTTTGTTTGTTGTTGTTGAGACAGAGTCTCTGTTGCCCAGGCTGGAGTGTAGTGGCATGATCTTGGCTCACTGCAACCTCCACCCCCTCGGGGTTCAAGCAATTCTCCTGCCTCAGCCTCCCAAGTAGCTGGGACTATAGGCATGTGCTACTATGCCCGGCTAATTTTTGTATTTTTTGGTAGAGACGGGGTTTCATCATGTTGACTGGGCTGGTCTCGAACTCTCAACCTCAGGTGATCCACTTCCCTCGGCCTCCCAAAGTACTGGGATTACAGGCATGAGCCACCACACTCAGCTCTACCAACTTTTTATCAAGTGTTTTTGAGTGAACTATCTTATTGAATCTTCATAGTGATTTTTGGAGAAAGTTAATATTATTATCTTCATTCTTTTTTTTTTTTTTTGAGCGCAGTCTGGCTCTTTCGCCCAGCCTGGAGTGCAGTGATGCGATCTCGGCTCACTGCAAGCTTTGCCTCCCGGGTTCACACCATTCTCCTGCCTCAGCCTCCCGAGTAGCTGGGACTACAGGCGCCTACCACCATGCCCAGCTAATTTTTTTGTATTTTTAGTAGAGACGGGGTTTCACCATGTTAGCCAAGATGGTCTTGATCTCCTGACCTCGTGATCCGCCCGCCTCAGCCTCCCAAAGTGCTGGGATTACAGGCGTGAGCCACCGCGCCCGGCTTCTTCATTCTATTTTTGAGAAAATTGAGACTCATATAGCTCAAAATGCATTGCCAAAGATCACTCAGCCAGTAAGTAGAATGGGACTAAAATCCAAATGTTTTGGTTTGAAACTTCATGTTCTTTGTAGTGCACTATACAGCTATGCCTTATCTGTTCCTCTTTTTTAAAAAAGTATTTGTTATAGTTGACACATGATATCGTACACATTTATTGGGTACATAGTGCTATTTCAATACACACAATGTACAGTGATCAAATCAGAGTAATTCATATATTCCTCACCTTAAATATTTATCCTTTCTTTGTGTTGGGAACATTCAAACGCCCCTCTTCTAGCTATTTTAAAATATATAGTAAATTATTATTGACTACAGTCACCCTACAGTGCAATGGAACACTAGGACTTATTCCTCCTATCTAGCTGTAATTTGTGTCCTTTAACCACCCCCTACCCTTCCCAGCCTCTAGTGATTACTATTTTATTCTCTAGCTCCATGAGATCAACTTTTTTAGCTTCTGCATATGAGCGAGAACATTTGGTATTTATCTTCCTGTTCCTGGCTTGTTTCACTAACATAATGTCCTTCAGGTTCATCCACCTTGCTGCAAATGACAAGGTTTCATTCTTTATGTGAATTTAAGGGTTATTTTCCTTAAGCTAGAATAAAGTATTGCCTTATATACACAATGGAGAAGGGATTTATTTGTACAGATTATTTATTGATTATTTCTTTAAGGGATTTATTTGTAAAGACCAAATATGTTTGGATTTTCAGATTGTCTAGCAATATTATCCTCCTGGATAACCCTGATACCAATCAATTAACCGTCTTCTAACTCTCCTCCTTCCCTCCCTTACCTTTTCTACACCTATTACCTAAGCATTTGAGGTACGCCAAAGGAAATAAAAAAGTACTCCTCCAGGAAGCAGAGTACAGACAAAAGAGGTAATGAATACTGTAATGATCTAAGTGCTATATATTCCTATGTGCAAACTGCTATGGAACTGTCACGTACTAGATGCTATGAAGTTAATAAAAGAATTGAGTAAAGGTCCCTGTCTTTGATAACTTATATTCTATTTGGAGAAACATGGGGGGTAAATCTTGGCTAATAACTAGCAAATATAACATGTTAGGCCAAGGAGTAGAGATAATTAAGAGAACTAGTCGAGAAGGCATTGGCTATTAAAAAATGGACAGGATTTATGCAAACTCTCATGAAAGGTGGGACTTCATGATCCTACAGTCAATCTAGCTGTTCTGGGCTTTGAACCCCAGCGACCCCATCCAGAAGAAACCAGGAGAAGCACAAACTGGCGCTAGGTTCGCTACCATCCACCTGACCCTTGAGCCCGGGGAAACCCACGGGTGCAGCAAGCCGGGAAAGCTGCAGACGAGGCAGGCGGAAGAGGCGGGACTTCGCGGGTGACGTCATCGGGGCGCCGGAGGCCCGGGGCGCCTGGGAATTTGAAGCAAACAGGCAGCGCGCGACAATGGCGGTCGCTCGTGCAGCTTTGGGGCCATTGGTGACGGGTCTGTACGACGTGCAGGCTTTCAAGTTTGGGGACTTCGTGCTGAAGAGCGGGCTTTCCTCCCCCATCTACATCGATCTGCGGGGCATCGTGTCTCGACCGCGTCTTCTGAGTCAGGTGCTGGCCTAGGAAGGGAAAGGACAGGGCTTGGTGGCGGGAAGGAGGACAAGGAAATGGAAGAGGGTGACAGGAGTTGGGCCGTGAGTGAGAGCAAAAGAGCCAAGCAGGCAGACCGACCCTACTCTTGGTTTGGGGAGTAAGCATGAGAAGCACAGAGGCCAGGGGTTGGGCTCCTCGAGAGTCGTCTGTTCTTTCACCCACACGCTTAGACACGTGTTTTGCAAAAGTCGGGAAACCCAGTTTGGAACGCTTTCTGGCACTGAAGCACACTTGAATGAATTCTGTATATTTAACTCTTTAAGAAAATTAGACTTGCGGCCGGGCGTGGTGCCTCATGAGAGTAATACCAGCACTTTGGGATGCCTAAGTGGGCAGATCACCTGAGCCCCAGGAGTTCGAGACCAGCCTGGGCAACATGACGAGACCCCGTCTCTACAAAAAATTAGCTGGGTGTGGTGGCGCACGCCTGGGACGCTGAGGTGGGAGGATCACCTGAGCCTGGGAGGTCAAGGCTGCAATGAGCTGTCATTGCGCCACTGCACTCCAGCCTGGGCGACAAGTGAGACCCTGCCCTCAAAAAACAAACAAATAGACCGGGAAAACGTGGGTAGGCAGAGAATTCAGTAGCTGGGAAATTACTGGTGAGAAAAGGAAAATAGAACAACCAGAACTCTGTGATGTATACAAAATTTATCAGAGCCCAGAGAGACTTCAACCATACTCCCCTATGCAGCCCCGGGACAATTATTTAAAGGAATTTTGTCCCTGACTAGCTGCCTCTCCCATTATCTTAATGTACCTGGAATGTGTGATACAAAGAACAATGTATAGCTAATCAATCGCTTGTGTTATTATTTTATTTATTTATTTTTTAGATGGGATCTCTCTTACGTCACCCAGGCTGGAGTGCAGCTCTGTGATCATAGCTCACTGCAGCCTGGAACTCCTGGGCTTAAGAGATCTTCTTGCCTCGGGTGAGCACAGGGGCTCATGCCTGTAGTCCCAACTTTGGGAGGCTTTCTTTGGGAGGCTGAGGCGGGTGGATCACTTAAGGTCTGGAGTTCGAGACCAGCCTGGCCAACATGGTGAAACCCTGTCTCTACTGAAAATGCAAAAATTAGCTGGGCATGGTGGTGCACACCTGTAATCCCAGCTACTCAGGAGGCTGAGGCAGAAGAATCAGGAGGTTGCAGTTAGCCGAAATTGAGCCACTGCACTCCAGCCTGGGCAACAGAGGGAGACTGTCTCAGAAAAAAAAAAAAAAAAGAGATCCTCTTACCTCAACCTCTGAGTAGCTGGAACTACAGGCATGTGCCATCATGCCCACCAAATTAAAAATTTTTTTTTTTTGTAGAGAGGAGGTCTCACCATACTGCCCAGGCTCGTCTCAAACTCCTGGCCTCAAAAGATCCTCTTGCCTTGGCGGCTTCCCAAGTAGCTGGGACTACAAATGCCTGGTGCCACCCCCGGGCTACCTCCTGTTATTTCAATGCAAATTCTTGGTGAATATAGGAACTGCCCCTTCTTTTGCTTTAAAAATCCACTTGTAACTACTGTAATCGAAGCCTATAGTCAGGGCAACTACTCATATTAATTTTGCCTCAGCCTCTTCCTGTTAGGTCCACACTTGGAAGGGCTGTTTGGAAAGGGGAGTTGAATTTTGCACTGTGCGGCCAGAAGCAATAATTAAGACTAGAAGGTGGACATATTGGGAAAGCAGGTTTTTAGTCAATATAAGGAAAATTTTTGTACAAATTAGAGGTTTCTAATACAGTGCTTCTCAACTTTGAGTATATATGAATTACCTGGGAATTTTGTTAAAATGCAGAATCCATTTCTGTAGCTCTGAGACTAGACCTGAGGTTGTGCATTTCTAACAAAGTGCCAGCTGAAACTGCAGACCACACTGAGTAGAGGGCCGTAAATATGCTTTCCAATACAGTTTGCTACTAGCCACGTGTTACTATTGAGCATTATGAATTTTTAAGTTTAAATAGTCATATATGGCCAGTGGCTATCATATTGGACTGCAAAGATAGAGAACATTTCCATCATTGCAGAAAGTTCTATCAAGAAGACATATAAGTTTCCTCAGCCCACTTAAGGGTTTATGTTCACTAGGGACCACTTTGTGTGGTTATTGTAAAAAGTATTGAAGATAGGTTGGACTATTAAGGTTGCGGTACTTTGGACCATTAACTTCTCACCATCCAGAATCTTGCTATGGTGTATCTTAGCAATGTGGAGAATTACTAAGGATTTTCTAGGGAAAAATTGATTTATTTTAATAAGCCAGCTGATAAATGACAGAAAAAGTTTTTTGATAACTAGATCATGGTGTGTGTGTGTGTGTGTGTGTGTGTGTGTATTTTGGTGATTAACTGGGGAGGAGTTCAAAACATGGAGAGACTTGGGTATAACAAAACTTCTTTTCACATCTTATGCGAATAGAATTTCTCAGTATTTACACCCCAAAAAGCAATATAATTTATGCTAAACTCTAACTTCCCTTAATAAGTGATAATAAGTGATATTTGACTATAGTACTATATACACATTAGTGTACATAAAGTAATTGGAGAGGAAAGGTAGCATTAACTCACTAAAAATGCATTTTCCAAATCTGTTTTTATCTCTCTGTCAAAATTTGCAAATCATGTTTGAATTAATCATATGCTTGTTATAATTTAATGATATACAGAAGAATTCTCTTCTTTAAAAAGTACAATTTCCATTTTCTTTTCCTCAAGAGAATAGTTTCTCTTCAGTCCTTAAGGATTCAGCTCCTTACATGGGCTTTGGTGAGGGTCATGAGGCAGCACCCACAGGTTTAAATCAGATTGGGGTATTTGGTCCTTGTGGGATTCACAAGATGGATTACTGACTGCCTTGCTGTGAATGGCACAACTCACACCTTAATGTAGCTTCGCATACAGCTTGGGAAGAACATAGGAGGCAAAGTTGCTCACTGCAGTAATGTCCCTGACTGCTGCGGCCTCTACTATGTTTTGCACGACGAGCTTCTTAATGGTCTTTTCCTTGGGCATGCATCGGACATAGTATGTGCCACTACTGGCCACAGCCCTTTTTGGCACGATCATTGTTCCTTTCTTTTCTTTGTCATCTTGGAAGTAAGGACCTGAGAGAGCTACAGAAGAATTCTTGACATCTAGAGACTTATGGTCATGGGAAATTTTTTTTTAATTACCATTTTAAATTTCAGTTTACATACATATAGACAAGTATGACAGAGGGATCAGTAAAAGCTTTTCAAGTATAATCATATATTACTTTAGAATAAAATTCTGTGGACACAGTGGAGTGAAAATATGAGTTGGAAAAAGATGTAAAAAATTTTAAACTTTTCATAGTCCAGCAATTTCACGTTTTGTTTTTTTAAATGGAGATGGTGGATATCCAGTCACTAGCATTTGTATTCCAAGTTTATTCCTTAAAAAGAGTGATAAAACAGTTCTAAGATAATATGTTAATATTTTTAGTACTAGAAATTACATTCTCTGCAACTTAAAATAGTCATAGTTTTTTTTTGTTTGTTTTTTTACTCTTTAGAAGTACTGGTGTAAACCTATGATCTAGTTCACAAAGCAACTCAGTGACTGTTTGCTTTTTTAAAAAAAAAATGAGGTGGTCTTGGGTGGGAATATGTATCCTAACATTAAAATATGATGATTTATGTGGAAAAGGAGATTATAAAATAGCAATTCACACAATAGTCTGTATTTATGAAACTTCCTAATTGAAGGCTTCTTTCAGGATATATAACTAAAAGATGATAGGTTTAGATACTCAGCCTAATGGGTTACTGAGGAAACCAGGAAGTCGGGATCGTCCTTAGTCTTTGGGGTCAACATCATGAGCTTCCCCAGCACATCTCAGGTTGCCTTCAGAACAGATTCTGAGTCTGGTTGAATAGATTCATTCTTGTGTTTTTAGATTTATATTTGTGTACTGGGTTTATGGAGAGGGTAATAAAAAGGCATTTGTTTTTTTTTCTCCAATCAAGTTTGAGACTTACCCCCACTAGTTTATTACTGTCTTTTCTGTTACGTTGTTACATGTTTATACACTATTTAAAATAGTTACAATAGGCTGGGCGCAGTGGCTCACGCCTGTAATCCCAGCACTTTGGGAGGCCGAGGCAGGTGGATCACAAGGCCAAGAGTTTGAGGCCAGCCTGACCAACATAGTGAAACCCCATCTCTACTAAAAATACAAAAAAATTAGCTGGGTGTAGTGGTGCGCGCCTGTAATCTCAGCTCCTTGGGAGGCTGGGGCAGGAGAATCACTTGAACCTGGGAGGCAGAGGTTGCAGTGAGCCGAGATCGCACCACTGCATTCCAGCCTGGGCAACAGGGCGAGACTCCATCTCAAAAAATAAAAAATATAAAATAAAATAAAATAGTTACAATAAAACATTGTTTATGTGTTCATTTTCTTACAGGTTGCAGATATTTTATTCCAAACTGCCCAAAATGCAGGCATCAGTTTTGACACCGTGTGTGGAGTGCCTTATACAGCTTTGCCATTGGCTACAGTTATCTGTTCAACCAATCAAATTCCAATGCTTATTAGAAGGAAAGAAACAAAGGATTATGGTAAAATAAAAGTAACATAAAGCATGAAGTTAATTAATCTGTAACATCATACTCTTAGAATTTTTCCGCTTCTGTGCACTAATGTTTTACCAGTCATCTTGAGTTCTTTAAGTTGTTACTGCTTGTAGAATTTATAATTGTTACTATAAGTCACCTTCCTTTTTTTAGACTTGGGGTGAAATGCTTTGTATTGATTAGGAAATGAAAAGTGCTTTTTTTGGTACTGTATCTATGAAACTCCAACATTTTTTTTTTTTACCAGCCCTTCCCTCATCAGCAAAATGTTGTAACAGCACATACTTTCCCAGTATGTTTGTATTTAAACTTCATGAAAAGTAATCCATGGATAAAATTACTCTCATAAAGCAGTGTAAACACCTCAGAGAGATATTTTTGTGGGTTCATGGCAATAGATTATCAGGTGACTTGCTTTAAAACCCGAAAATTTGTCCAGGCACCATGGCTCACGCCTGTAATCCCAGCACTTTTGGAGGCCGAGGTAGGCGGATCACTTGAGGTCAGGAGTTCAAGACCAGCCTGACCAACGTGGTAAAACTCCGTCTCTACTAAAAATACAAAAATTAGCTGGGCGTGGTGGTATGCACCTGTAGTCCCAGCTACTGGAGAGGCTGAGGCAGGAGATGCGCTTGAACCCAGGAGGTGGAGGTTGCAATGAGCTGAGATTGCGCCACTGCACTCCAGCCTGGGCGACAAAGTGAGACCCTATTTCAAACAAAAAAAACCCTGAAAATTGGCCAGGCACAGTGGCTCACACTTGTAATCCCAGCACTTTGGGAGGGCAAGGTGGGAGGATAGCTTGAGCCCAGGAGTTTGAGACCAGCTTTGGCAACGTTTGTCTCTACAAAAATAAAAAAAGAATACAAAATTAGCTGAGTGTCACAGTTACATGGGAGGCTGAGGCAGGAGGATGCCTTGAGCCCAGGAGCTGAAGGTTGCAGTGAGCTATGATTATGCCACTGCACTGCACCCTGGGTGACAGAGCAAGACTGTCAAAAAATAAATAAATAAAACCTGAAAAGCAATCTTAATGATAGTAAGGAATTAATGGGCTTTTTTGTTTATGTTGGTTTATTAGTGTTTTGTTACTTTTTTTAAAACAAATCCTTCTTCTACAGATGCATTCTGAAAATTTTTATGATTAAAAAAAAGAAACATATTAGTTGAGTTTTTGTGGCGTAAGGGCAGTGTTAGTTTTTCTGTTTTTGTTTTTTGTTTTTTTGAGACAAGGTCTCACTCTGTTGCCCAGGCTGGTCTTGAACTCCTGGTCTCAAGCCATCCTCCTGCCTCATCCTCCCAAAGTGCTGGGATTACAGGTGTGAGCCACTGCACCCAGCTGAGACTTTCTGAGCTAAAAAAAAACTGTATGAATCCCTACCCATAAGAAAACTCTTATTTCTATTATTTTATGTTTTAAAAACTGTTTCTATGAAATTATGCATTTTTAAATATACTATAAATACTTGCAGTCTTGTGTTCTAGCTTAAGCTGATTCAGTTAAACTTACCAGTTGTTCAAGAAGCGGAAAGGATTTGATGAGTCTAAAGTCTACAGCCCAAGTTATTTACGTTTTGTAGATTATCTGAAAATAGTCTAGTGGGATTTGGGTAGAGAAGTATATATTTAATCACATTGCATTATATAATTCTTTAGATTGTAGTAATGGGTCTAAATGATTGCTGAATATTTTTCCTTCTGAATTTGTGTCTTCAAAAAGTCAATTATTTGGCTGATCTTGAATAGTGAACTTAAAATACTTTGATGGAAAAAGGAATTATTTCATTCATGATACTGGATTATTCTGTTTCATAACTTTCCTTGATCTAGGTGATCTTGCTGTAAGAAACTCTGTATTTAGGCTGGACGTGGTGGCTCACACCTATAATCCTAGCATTTTGGGAGGCTGAGGCGGGAGGATCACTTGAGCTCAGGAGTTCAAGACCAGCCTAGACAACATAGTGAGACCTCATCTCTATGATAAAACAGATTTTTTTAAAGTAAAAAAAAAACCTCTCTATTTGAAAATTTGATCATAAAACACATTAAGCAGTGTTTATAATGTGAAATAATTTACTTGATTTACTATAAATATACTGTATGTGTAACTGGCAAGTTTGGTATACAGAGTTGGCTTTATACATAAATATACTGTATGTGCAACTAGCAAGTTTGGTATACAGAATTGGTATACACATATACTGTATGTGTAACTGGCAAGTTTTGTATACAGAGTGTGTGTACGTATATACGCACATATACATACATATTTAAATTTGGAATCAGCAAAATTTTTTCTTTTCTAGGAACTAAGCGTCTTGTAGAAGGAACTATTAATCCAGGAGAAACCTGTTTAATCATTGAAGATGTTGTCACCAGTGGATCTAGTGTTTTGGAAACTGTTGAGGTTCTTCAGAAGGAGGGCTTGAAGGTCACTGATGCCATAGTGCTGTTGGACAGAGAGCAGGGAGGCAAGGACAAGTTGCAGGCGCACGGGATCCGCCTCCACTCAGTGTGTACATTGTCCAAAATGCTGGAGATTCTCGAGCAGCAGAAAAAAGTTGATGCTGAGACAGTTGGGAGAGTGAAGAGGTTTATTCAGGAGAATGTCTTTGTGGCAGCGAATCATAATGGTTCTCCCCTTTCTATAAAGGAAGCACCCAAAGAACTCAGCTTCGGTGCACGTGCAGAGCTGCCCAGGATCCACCCAGTTGCATCGAAGCTTCTCAGGCTTATGCAAAAGAAGGAGACCAATCTGTGTCTATCTGCTGATGTTTCACTGGCCAGAGAGCTGTTGCAGCTAGCAGATGCTTTAGGACCTAGTATCTGCATGCTGAAGACTCATGTAGATATTTTGAATGATTTTACTCTGGATGTGATGAAGGAGTTGATAACTCTGGCAAAATGCCATGAGTTCTTGATATTTGAAGACCGGAAGTTTGCAGATATAGGAAACACAGTGAAAAAGCAGTATGAAGGTAAGTGTATTATTCAGGAATCTGCAAGAATCAGAAATCCAGCTTAAACTGAAGAAGAAAAAGGAAATGCTCATGTCATTGAAAGTCCATTCATAGAGCAGGCTGTCAAGCGTGGTTGGATCCAGGAGCTCAAGTGATATCTTCATGACTTGCTTTCTCTCCATCTCTCAGCTCTGCTTTCTTCTCTGTTGACTTCTTTCTCAGGTAGGCATACTCTGCATGCTCACCCCAAACCAATCACTCTAGCTTGGGATGTAGAATACCTTCATTAACTAGCCTGGGCAATTTGCTCTGCAACTGTGAGGTTGTTAACTCTGTATGACCTTCTTGAAATAAGAACCAGTCAGGGATAATTTCCTTAAAGAAAATGGATGTGCTAGTACCAGAAGAAGGGTATGTGCCTGGGCAAGCAAATTTGACAGATGTCCTTGGCAGAATATGATGTTTTGAATGAAAATTCCACATAAAGGAAACAATGAAAAAGAAATATAAAATGGTAAGATTTATTTGTAGCAGAAAAAGTTCTATTGATAAACATTATTTAAAGATTTTTCTTTTATCAAATAGGGACTCAAAGTAGTGCATGTGTTGGTTGAGAAAAATGCTTAGTTCTACTGCCTATTCTATGCAAATTTCTGTCTATGTTTTTACAACTGTGTGATCAGACTATATTTAATGCATTTTTCACTTAACCTGGTAACAGATATTTGGTTGTGTCATATAACATTTTTTGTAGGCATCTTTGAGGTAACTTTTCTTTAATGTATGCATGTTCATAAGCTATTTCTTTAAAATAGATTTGTCTTTAAGTGACTTCTTCATGTGCTTAAGATGTCCTGCCCTCATCACATTGCCTAGCTTACTTTAGCTGATTGACTGACATAAGAGTTTTATACAAACTTTCTTCAGCTCTGCATAGAGTTTTTTCGAAAATCAGGCTTGTTACTGTCCGCTTTTAAAAGGAATATAGTTGCCTATTGAAATTAGATAGCTAAGGAGATCTAAGGAACACGTAGAAATATTGAGCGATAGTAAAGCTGCTGAGAGACCCCTGCAGAGTGAAAACTTGTCATCTTCAAGAAGAATTTTATTTTTATTATTATTTTTTTTGAGATGGGGTCTTGCTCTGTCGCCCAGGCTGGAGTGCAGTGGTGCAATCTTGACTCACTGCAACCTCCACCTCCTGGGCTCAAGTGATCCTCCCACCTCAGCCTCCCAAGTAGCTGGGACCACAGGCATGCGCCACCACACCTAGCTAATTTTTTTGTATTTTTGGTAGAGATGGAGTTTTGCCATGTTGCCCAGGCTGGTCTCGAACTCCTAAACTCAAGCAATCTGCCCACCTCAGCCTCCCAAAGTACTGGGATTACAAGCATGAGCCACCATGCCCAGCTTCAAGAGGAATTTTTAAATGTTATCCTTGACATCAATAAATGTTTATCTTCACTGGAGTCCCTTTCTAATAGCATGAGCTTTATTTGTGGTCATGAGCTTCAGCCTTCAAGGAAAAAGAGTCCTGTTAGTGTTCCAGATAAGCCAAGTGCAGACCTTGAAAGTTTTTTCTCATTGTGATCTCTCACCCAGCTACTTACCTGAATAACAGATACAGTTTTCACAGATGGAACCATGGGTCTGCTGATAATCACTAAAGTTCCTGAAGAGTTTTGATTCTCTCATTAACATGTTACTGGGAGATTATTTCATATTGTAGTTGGTTGGTTGGACAAGACGTTAGAGGTTTTGTTTGAAAATCAGCAAATATCTTTTTTCCCCCTTCTTCTTAGGAGGTATCTTTAAAATAGCTTCCTGGGCAGATCTAGTAAATGCTCACGTGGTGCCAGGCTCAGGAGTTGTGAAAGGCCTGCAAGAAGTGGGCCTGCCTTTGCATCGGGGGTGCCTCCTTATTGCGGAAATGAGCTCCACCGGCTCCCTGGCCACTGGGGACTACACTAGAGCAGCGGTAAGTGGTGGGGGGACTGGGTGAGAGGGGGCAGGGGCTGCTATGCTGCATGCTGCAAGAAGATATCTCCTAATCTGGCGTTTCTGGAACCTCTGCCAAAAAAAAAATCCAGCTCTTGTTAGTGTGACAGTATATTAATACTAGTTGGATAGAATTCCTTGATAGTTAATAGCATTTTATATCATGTAGTGGACACTTCAGGAATTTGAATTATACTCCAAGAGAAACTTTGAGACCCAGATAGTTAGTCAAACAAACACTTACTAAATCTACCAGGACTTTAAGATAATGTCTTTTTCATCTTACCATGAATTGAGAGAAGATGAGAAGAGCTTCCCAGACATGCAGTTTCTCAGAATCTCCCAAGTCCTACAGAGATGCACATTCCCATGACAGCAGCCCACATGCAGTGGCTTTCTCTTATTCTTGTCAGATATTTTAGAATATAATATTACTTTAAAAAAATTGCCATAGGGGGCTGGGCGCAGTTGCTCACACCTGTAATCCTAGCACTTTGGGAGGCCAAGGCGGGAGGATTGCTTGAGGCCAGGAGTTGGACGTCATAGTGAGATCTCGTCTCTACAAAAAAATGAAAAAGAAAATAACCAGGCATGGTGGTACGTGCCTATAGTCCCAGCTGCTTGGGAGGCTGAGGTGGGAGGATCGCTTGAGCTTGAAGTTCAAGGCTGCAGGGAGCCATGATCATGCCACTTTACCTCAGCCTGGGCAAGAGTAAGAGCCTGTCAAAAAAAATTAAAAATAAAAAGCCCCAAGAAAATCCCCATGATTTTTTTAAAAATGAAATCCCCAAGACAATCCCCATGTGAAGATTCTAGAAGTAAAGGATTTCCATTTTTTCATATTATTTCAGACTATTTGGAGACTTAACTCATATGGCCCTACAGTCAGGTTTTAACCCTATCCCTGAATTGACTATAACTGTCTGATTTCCCAAGTCTCAAAATCACAGGGGCCATGAGTCAGTTTTAATATTTGGCATTCTGGGAGTCTGGGTCTGGCTCAAGGACAAGACATGACTTGTTTGTTGGCAGTAGTACTTGGTGGCAAGAATGAATGTATCAATGTGTGTCTCAGGTCTCGAAGTACCGAGGCTGGAGTGCAGTGGTGGTACTGAGTCTGGTCTCCGGGAAGTATCAAATAAGAAGGGAAGTATGGGAGTCACGTCTCGGGGAAAGTACCTACCGAATCAGAAAGCCAGGCAGACCTTCTAAAGAGACTTTTATGAATGTGAGATAATAGTATAGAAATTGGGGAGACCAGTTGATGTTACAGAAGAGGGAAAGTGGTAGAGGTGAGATTTCTTTAGCTCTTGAAAGCGTAGCTGTTCTTTACATGACAGCTGCCTTTGGATATGGAGTACCCCGTCTGTAGATAGTCAGTAAGCCTTGAATGTGGTTTCATACCATTATAATATGTTCTAGAGTACTCGCCTCAAATCCTTTTTGGAAGTAGGTGGGTCACCAAGCATTATTAGAAATAAGAAATTATGCAGCATCTTGATTTTAGATGCATATAGTATAGGATTTCTGCTTTACGTATGGTTTATTGCGGGAAGGGAAGGGAAAGGGTCATCTCAGAGTCTTAATGAAGCAGATGTGTTTTATTATGGTTTCTATCTAAGATGACCTGTTTCAGATATAGTAACTTTATATATATGGAATGAGAAAAGGCATCTATAATACAGCAAAGTTTCTAACTAGATAATAGAGCATAAGCCAGGCATGGTGACTTACAACTGTAACCCCAGCACTTTGGGAGGCCAAGGTAGGAGGATCCCTTGAGCCCAGGGGTTCAAGACCAGCCAGGGAACATAGGGAGACCTCATGTCTTTTTTTTTTTTTTTTAAGTTTTGAAAAAATAGAGCATATTTTTACTTTTATTCTGTGTGATTAACTGTTTTCTTATAATATGTCCTATTACATTCCATTTAGGTTAGAATGGCTGAGGAGCACTCTGAATTTGTTGTTGGTTTTATTTCTGGCTCCCGAGTAAGCATGAAACCAGAATTTCTTCACTTGACTCCAGGAGTTCAGTTGGAAGCAGGAGGTAAATCTGGTCACTGGTCGTGGCTCTTCCAAAAATGCTTCTTTACCCATGGCAGGCAAAATAAAACTTTGCATATTATTATACACTTGCTTAAGAAAAGCCTTCTTAGTCTAGAACAATAATGAATGAGCCCTTTGGTAACTATGTATCTTTGGACAAGTCAGTTTACTTCTTTTAGTCTAATTGTCTGTAAAATGGGGATGATAACAGTATTGACCTCATAAGGTAATCAAGATGCTTTAATGAGATAACATGTAGAATATTTAACACAATGTCTTGGCACAGAGTAAACACTCTGTACTTATAAGCCCTTATTCGTAAGCCCTAATAATTGTTTGACTAGATATTATAGTTAGGGTCTAGGCTTTTAAGAATACTTAAAGTATCTTGGATTTGGAAGATAATAAGCCATTTAACAGAATGCTTCTGAAACAGCGGAATTTAATAAAAAAGCAAAATTTAAGGATTCGGGTTTATGGATAGTCTGTGTGACCACTTGATGGGGTTCTTGTATATGGTAGTGGTCAGGTTAGACTTGCTCAGCAGTGCCTTGTGGTGATTCTAAGATGTGTGCTAAAATTTTCTTCAATTGTGAGGCCAATCTTTATTGTATTTTTTTGATATTGAACCTTTCTTTGCAACATATGAGTTTTACTTCTTTTTTTAATATATTGTTAAGCTACAGATGATCTAAAATTTGACATTGAGGGGGTGAATATTTAGGGCAACTTGAATTTATGCTTCTGGAAAAAAATTACATGAAAAAATAATGATAAAATAAATAAGGCTGGGTGCGGGGGCTCACGCTCGTAATCCCAGCACTTTGTGAGGCCGAGGTGGGCAGATCACCTGAGGTCAGGAGTTCAAGACCAGCTTGGCCGACATGGTGAAACCCTGTCTCTACTCAAAATACAAAAATTAGCCGGGCGTGGTGGTGCACGCTTTTAATCCCAGCTACTCGGGAGGCTGAGGCAGGAGAATCGCTTGAATCCGGGAGGCGGGGGTTGCAGCGAGCTGAGATTGTGCCATTGCACTCCAGCCTGGGTGACAGAGCAAGACTCTGTCTCAAAAAAATAAATAAATAAATAGGGCGGGGCGCAGTAGCTCATGCCTGTAATCCCAGCACTTTGGGAGGCTGAGGCGGGCGGATCATGAGGTCAGGAGATCGAGACCATCCTGGCTAACACGGTGAAACTCCATCTCTACTAAAAAATACAAAAAATTAGCCAGGCGTGGTGGCAGGCGCCTGTAGTCCCAGCTACTCGGGAGGCTGAGGCAGGAGAATGGCATGAACCTGGGAGGCAGAGCTTGCAGTGAGCCGAGATAGCACCACTGCACTCCAGCCTGGGTGACAGAGCGAGACTCCGTCTCAAAAAAATAAATAAATAAAAATAAATAAATAAATAAATAAATAAAATAAACTTTACCATTGAAAAGGAGTTGGTGATCATCTTTCTCCATTTGACGTCTCTGGCCTACCCAGTGAGTCTCTTCAGCTCCTGTTTTTACGCAGTTGCTGTACAAAAGGGGAACGAAAGTAGGGGCATGTTTTTATTTAAAGCTGGTTAGATACTTTTTCAGAGAAGTCATGTGACAGGTTTTCTGATTTTTGTATTATGTGAAACAACAATTTTTGTGTTTCTTGCAGGAGATAATCTTGGCCAACAGTACAATAGCCCACAAGAAGTTATTGGCAAACGAGGTTCCGATATCATCATTGTAGGTCGTGGCATAATCTCAGCAGCTGATCGTCTGGAAGCAGCAGAGATGTACAGAAAAGCTGCTTGGGAAGCGTATTTGAGTAGACTTGGTGTTTGAGTGCTTCAGATACATTTTTCAGATACAATGTGAAGACATTGAAGATATGTGGTCCTCCTGAAAGTCACTGGCTGGAAATAATCCAATTATTCCTGCTTGGATTCTTCCACAGGGCCTGTGTAAGAATGGGTTCTGGAGTTCTCATGGTCTTTAGGAAATATTGAGTAATTTGTAATCACCGCATTGATACTATAATAAGTTCATTCTTAAGCTTGCTTTTTTTGAGACTGGTGTTTGTTAGACAGCCACAGTCCTGTCTGGGTTAGGGTCTTCCACATTTGAGGATCCTTCCTATCTCTCCATGGGACTAGACTGCTTTGTTATTCTATTTATTTTTTAATTTTTTTCGAGACAGGATCTCACTCTGTTGCCCAGGATGGAGTGCAGTGGTGAGATCACGGCTCATTGCAGCCTCGACCTCCCAGGTGATCCTCCCACCTCAGCTTCCAGATTAGCTGGTGCTATAGGCATGCACCACCACGTCCATCTAAATTTCTTTATTATTTGTAGAGATGAGGTCTTGCCATGTTACCCAGGCTGGTCTCAACTCCTGGGCTCAAGCGATCCTCCTGCCTCAGTCTCTCAAAGTGCTGGGATTACAGGTGTGAGCCACTGTGCCCAGCCTAATTGCAGTAAGACAAAAATTCTAGGGCACCAAGAGGCTAAAGTCAGCACAGCTTTTCTTGTGTCCTGTATTCTCTGTCTAATGTGTTGCCCAAATAATACCTAATTGTTAGCCATTCCCCTCCATCTCTGGCCTAAAAGTGATAGTCCAGGTATCCACATGGGCTGGTTCCCAGAACTGCCATTGCTCACTCTCCAAAGAGGGGAAGGTGGGGAAGGGGAAGGTGACTATAGCTCAGCTCCTGAGCTAGTATCTGGCTGTTATTTCAACAACCGGAGTTGGGGTTTGGGCTCATTTTTTCCCCTAGCCAGCAATTATGGACCAGTAGTAACACAAGTGACAGCTTCCTGTGACTGACTTCACAATTAGGAGGTCTAAGATTCCATTTGGGTATTTGCTTAAGGATCCCACATAATTGTCCCAACGGTCATTAGTAGAGGGGAGGTAAGCCTTCATTAATAATAAAGAGAAAGCCCACATTCAAGGTGGTGTTTGAGCAGGGGCAGGGTGAGGGCTGTCCCGGTGCTCATTGCACCAGCACACTCACATTCCTTCTCATTTGGGGCCCACCTGCAGGAAGTGGCACAGGATCAGCCATTTCCCCACCCTTGTCAGCTGATGGCCCACTGTTCTTTAATGACTCAGAGGAATGCCTAGGATTTTTTTTTTTTTTTGAGACAGAATCTCACTGTCGCCCAGGCTGGAGTTCAGTGGCACGATCTCGGCTCACTGCAACTTCTGCCTCTCTGGTTCAAGCAGTTCTCCTGCCTCAGCCTCCCGAGTAGCTGGGACTACAAGCCTAGGATTTTTAACTCAGGTTTTTATTATATTCCCTCCTGAAGTTTTTACTTCAAGAGCTTCTGCTCTAAAGTCCAATTTGGGCTTCATGTCCCCAGTGCTGCATCTCCAGGGAAATGCTGTCTGTGGGAGAGACCAACTCTCAAGGAAGAAGTGGCCACAGAAGGAGCAGGAAGGGAGTTGGCCCTCAGGGCTACTCTGGGGAAGCCAAAAGTCATGAAGGGGAGAAGAATTTTCTGACAAAAACTTGCAGGAATCTCTTAGGTGTCTTCAGTGTTGGAGTGATATGTTGAGAGGCCTTTGGAGTGATGTGCTGAGGTCTCAGGCGCCCACCTCCCTGGCTGTCACTTCCATGTGTCAGTGGTTCTCCCACTTTAGCAGGTATCAGAGTCACCTGGAGTCTTGTCAAAACAGGTACCAGCCCCACCCGCAGCGTTTCTGACTCTGGGTAGCTCTGGGATGGGGCTTGAGAATTTGCGTTTCCAAAAAGGTCCCAGGTGATGCTGCGGTTGCCTGCGCAGGGACTGGACTTTGAGAACCACTTCACTGGTTATTCACATTTCTGCCTCTGCAGTGAGACAGCCTTGAGGTCTGCCTCCTGCTAAGAGTCACATGCTCCTGTCCTTTAGAAATGTGGGCTCCTGCCATCTCCAGGACGCAGGCACTGTTCCTGTTGATGAACCCTATTTCACAGGACCCCTGCTAAGGTGATTTGAGGGGAAATGAGAGGAGGCTCAAATAATCACCCAGCCCCTGCCACTTACTGAAAGTGTAGGTCCTTGTGCCCCACACCATCAGAGTTTCTGCGTTAGCAGATTTGTGGTTTGCCCAGCAGCCTGGGCGTGTGCATTTCTAATGGGTGCCTCAAGTGATCTGTTTCTGATTTGTATTTCTATTGTGAAGAGTCAGCCCAGTACTGCAGGCCTCTTACCTAAGCAGAATCCCAGTCTGGCATCAAAGCTTTAGAGGACAAGTTGATTCAGGCAGAGAAGAACTTGGGCTATACAAGCGCTGTTCTTCAGCATTGAAGTATTTTGGAGGCATTAGATAGTTTAACCCTTTCTCAGTCAAGGAATATTTACAGAACATGATCTCTGGGCATTGTAACTCCTGGTCTTAGTGGGGAATATAGGGACCCCATGTCTCCATGGGGTGCACAGAATGTCTGTGAGACTGATGGAGTGGAGAACGCCATCCCCCAGCCTCTCCAGCTACTCGAGGCATTCTGTAGAACATAAGCCCATAGATTGTGTGTGTGTGTGTGTGTGTGTGTGTGTGTGTGTGTGTGTGCATGCGCGCGCGTGCGCACTGGAGGAACCTAAGAAACTATTTGGTGCACTTCCTCTTATTTTAGAGCTCCCAAAGTGTAGCTCCAGAATCGTAAAGGGATATGCTCAGTCTCACAGCCAGCCTGTGGATCTCAGTCCCAACACTCACCCTTGTGCTACTGAGTCAGCTCTAAGAAAATCTGCCAAAAGTAGGCCGAGGGCTGGTTTTTTGTTTTGTTTTGTTTGTTTGATACAGGGTCTTCACTCTGTTGCCCAGGCTGGAGTATATCATGGCTCACTGCAACCTTGACTTGGGCTCAAGCGATCCGCTCAAGTAGCTGGAACTACTCTCAAGTAGCTCTCAAGAGCCTCTCGAGTGGCTGGAACTACAGGCGTGCACCACCACAGCTGGTTAATTTTTAAAATTTTTTGTAGAGACGGTGGAGGAGGTTCTCACTGTGACTCAGTGTGTGCCCGACAGCAGAGCCCACACCACTCCAGTTGCAGTGGTTGCCATCTGGGTCATCAGACCTGGCTGTCAGGGGTGCAGCCACAGGAGAGCCAACAGCAGAGGGTGCTGGCCGCTGAGCTAGCTGCTAATGCTGGCCTGGGTGCAGTTCTCATCCAAAGTACCCGGTGGGTGGGAGTCACTCAGTACCAGTTCCGAGCCTGAACCCAAACTCTCGTGTTTCTGCTCACCCCTCTCTGGCTTCTGCCACCACATGGGAAGAATATGCCCTGGTTAGCCCATGGCTTCTGAAGAGCAAGAGAAAGTAGAGCAGAGCCTACTCCAGCCTCCCCCGTCCAATGTATGAAAGCCCCAGCTGATCTGTAAGCCTGGGAGCGTGATAAATGCTTAGTAGTGCATGCCATGGAGTTCCAGGGTGGTTTATTACACGGCAATATCTAGCTAAATACATTTAACTTGCTGCAGCTCTCTGGATCCAGCCTGGTTACCAGGAAGACAAAAACTGGGCTCCACCAGGAACCAGTCTTCTGCCTTCCCAACCATCACCTCTGGCTGCATCAGCGATCTCTCCCAGCGAAATAGCTGCTTGGTCTTGTGTGAATCCTGTACTTTAACACAGTGGACCAAGTGTCAGTCATTGAAAATGACCATGAGTAACCCTGTGGACTCTCTGCAGCTTGGTTCCTTTGCCCCTTAACAGGTGGGTATGAATCGTGTCTTCAGTGCCAGGGCTGAATGAGAAAGGGCATTCCTTTTTGAAGGAATCTGATACTAAACACAAAGCATGAGAAAAATCAGGACTTGTTGGAGTTATATTTTTAAAATATATATTTTAACAGTTATATATATTAGATATAATATATAATAGTATATATAAATAATACTATATTGCCCAGGCTGGTCTCGAACTCCTTAGCTCAAGTGATCCTCCTGCCTTGGCTTCCCAAAGTGCTAGGATTACAGGTGTGAGCCACTGCTCCCGGCCTGTTGGAGTTCTTTACATTTATTTTATAATCAATGCTGTTTTATTAAATGCGGATTTTATTTTGGATTACAGGATGTAGAATGCCATATTTTTCTTAGATCATAGGGCCTTTCACATTTGTAATTTGGCCTTGTATGAGTTACCCTGCAATCCCTTTGTTTTCCCCATAACCCTTCCAAAGGAAGGCCGCAATAGAAATACAAAGAGAAACAAAATAATTAGAATATTTTTTAACTTCTAAAGTTCAAGGTTTTGGCATAAGTCTGGTTTAGAAGCACATTTGCCTAGCCCTTTCCTTCCCACCAAGGGGGAAAGTCTTCCTCTAGACAAGAGGCAGAGGGCTCCTCAGAGTCAGATCCTGGTGTGGGCTCTCACGTGCTGCTGCTGAATCCCAGGGAAGGAGGGAGGAAGGGCAGTTGACACCCAAAATAAGGGTGGGGAACTGTCAGCAGAGGAGGTCTGTGTCATGTTTTTCAGCGCTGGGGTTGGGGGGAGCCCAGGAGAGCAGGAAGATCCAGAGATCCCTCGCCCCAGCTCGGCCATGTGTGTCTGGGACAGAGCCTGAGGTGGCCTGAGCTTCCTGTGGCTCCAGAGTAACATTATAGAGAAGCTGAATTCTCCTGTTTTTCTGAAAAGGGCATGGGAGTTAGCTGAGAAGCAGACCTGGTGGGCCTGAGAGTCTCAATCGTCAGGTAAGGACAGTCAGTGGGAAGTGGACGGGCCGCACAACCAAGGTTCTCATGAGGACAACCATGTCTTCGGGGGTGCCCTTGTGCACAGACAGCTCCATAGTCCTGCCTCCAATGTCCCAACACTGCATTGTCTCCCTGCACTTAGCAGCCCTGCAGGGTGAGACTTGGGGAGGATCCTGAAATGATTGTATTTAACAAGACATGCTGTCCTTGTTTACCTGGAACCTAGCAATGTTGTTTTCTGCCACAACTTGAATAGATACTTGAAGCAGAGATGATGTTGAGTTAAAAAAAATATATACATAAAAATATGGGTTCTTTTCAACCTGAATAGATGGCCTAAAAATTCAAACTTGCCTCATGGCATTTGTTCAAGGAAAACCGGTATAGGTAGTCTTTGACCTCCTTTCCTCCCTTATCCTTTGTTCTTCCTTCTGAGGACTAAACTCTGATTTATTTATTTATTTATTTATTTATTTATTTATTTATTTATTGATCATTCTTGGGTGTTTCTCGCAGAGGGGGATTTGGCAGGGTCACAGGACAATAGTGGAGGGAAGGTCAGCAGATAAACAAGTGAACAAAGGTCTCTGGTTTTCCTAGGCAGAGGACCCTGCGGCCTTCCGCAGTGTTTGTGTCCCTGGGTACTTGAGATTAGGGAGTGGTGATGACTCTTAACGAGCATGCTGCCTTCAAGCGTCTGTTTAACAAAGCACATCTTGCACCGCCCTTAATCCATTTAACCCTGAGTGGACACAGCACATGTTTCAGAGAGCACAGGGTTGGGGGTAAGGTCACAGATCAACAGGATCCCAAGGCAGAAGAATTTTTCTTAGTACAGAACAAAATGAAAAGTCTCCCATGTCTACCTCTTTCTACACAGACACGGCAACCATCCGATTTCTCAATCTTTTCCCCACGTTTCCCCCCTTTCTATTCCACAAAATTGCCATTGTCATCATGGCCCGTTCTCAATGAGCTGTTGGATACACCTCCCAGACGGGGTGGTGGCCGGGCAGAGGGGCTCCTCACTTCCCAGTAGGGGCGGCCGGGTAGAGGCGCCCCTCACCTCCCGGATGGGGTGGTTGGCCGGGCGGGGGGCTGACCCCCCCTCCCTCCGGGACGGGGCGGCTGGCCAGGCGGGGGGCTGACCCCCCCCCACCTCCCGGACAGGGCGGCTGGCCGGACGGGGCGGCTGGCCGGGCAGAGGGGCTCCTCACTTCCCAGTAGGGGCGGCCAGGCAGAGGCGCCCCTCACCTCCCGGATGGGGCGGCTGGCCCGGCGGGGGGCTGACCCCCCCACCTCCCTCCCGGATGGGGCAGCTGGCCAGGCGGGGGGCTGACCCCCCCCACCTCCCTCCCAGACGGGGCAGCTGGCCGGGCAGAGGGGCTCCTCACTTCCCAGTAGGGGCGGCCGGGCAGAGGCGCCCCTCACCTCCCGGATGGGGCGGCTGGCCGGGCGGGGGGCTGACCCCCCCCACCTCCCTCCCAGACGGGGCGGCTGGCCGGGCGGGGGGCTGACCCCCCCACCTCCCTCCCGGACGGGGCGGCTGGCCGGGCAGAGGGGCTCCTCACTTCCCAGTAGGGGCGGCTGGGCAGAGGCGCCCCTCACCTCCCGGATGGGGCGGCTGGCCGGGCGGGGGGCTGACCCCCCCACCTCCCTCCCGGATGGGGTGGCTGCCGGGCGGAGACGCTCCTCACTTCCCAGACGGGGTGGCTGCCGGGCGGAGGGGCTCCTCACTTCTCAGACGGGGCGGCTGCTGGGCGGAGGGGCTCCTCACTTCTCAGACAGGGCGGTTGCCAGGCAGAGGGTCTCCTCACTTAGACGGGGCGGCCGGGCAGAGACGCTCCTCACTTCCTAGATGGGATGGCGGCTGGGAAGAGGCGCTCCTCACTTCCTAGATGGGGTGGCGGCTGGGCAGAGACGCTCCTCACTTTCCAGACTGGGCAGCCAGGCAGAGGGGCTCCTCACATCCCAGACGATGGGCGGCCAGGCAGAGACGCTCCTCACTTCCCAGACGGGGTGGCGGCGGGGCAGAGGCTGCACTCTCGGCACTTTGGGAGGCCAAGGCAGGCTGCTGGGAGGTGGATGTTGTAGCGAGCCGAGATCACGCCACTGCACTCCAGCCTGGGCACCATTGAGCACTGAGTGAAGGAGACTCCGTCTGCAATCCCAGCACCTCGGGAGGCCGAGGCTGGCGGATCACTCACGGTTAGGAGCTGGAGACCAGCCCGGCCAACACAGCGAAACCCCGTCTCCACCCAAAAAATACGAAAACCAGTCAGGCGTGGCGGTGCGCGCCTGCAATTGCAGGCACTAGGCAGGCTGAGGCAGGAGAATCAGGCAGGGAGGTTGCAATGAGCCGAGATGGCAGCAGTACAGTCCAGCTTCGGCTCGGCATCAGAGGGAGACCGTGGAAAGAGGGGAGAGGGAGAGGGAAAGGGAGAGGATTTTTTTTTTTTTAAATCTTGCCCACATTCCTATCTAAGGGGTCTGGGGAGTCATGCCCTACAAGTCATAAATTTTTATCAGATGGGTTTTATTTAACCCTACATATCATGACTTATTTTCCAGCCTCACTCTGGTATAACCTTATGAGACAAGGAAGAAAATCAAAATATTTTACCCCCAAATATGTTTATTTGCCATATTTTGAAATGGCCCTGCAAAGCTGTTCTTTGTGGGGGGAAATTAGCATCTGTAAGGAATCTCTATTAACATAGCTAGATCTTTATCTTACAGACTCTCCCAATCCTAAAGATACTAACTAAGATCTGAATAGGAAACATCGGTCATCTATTGTCTCTAAGGGCAGCCACTTATAAGACTTTTGTCTCCGCAATCTTAACCTGAACATTCCCTTTCTATCAATCCCAGGTCTTTAGACAAACTCAACCAGTTGTCAACCAGAAAATGTTTGAATTAACCTATAGCCTGGAAGCCCCACCTCACCCTTCCCCCCCCCCGCGCCCCCCCGCCCCGCCACCCTGCCACCCTGCCCCTGGTTTTGAGTTGTTCTGCCTTTCAGGACCAAACCAATGCATTTCTTAAATGCATTTGATTGATGTCTCATGCCTGTCTAAAATGTATAAAACCAAGCTGTACCCTGACCACCTTGGGCACATGTTCTTGGGACCTCCTGAGGGCTGTGTCATGGGCCATGGTCACTCATATTTGGCTCAAAATAAATCTCTTCAAATATTTACAGAGTTCCACTATTTCTGTTGACACTTCCCTCACTCCCACCATCTTGCTGCCCTCTGACTTCCCCAAGCGCCTGTGCTCTCTTCTTGGGCTATAGCATTACCTCTTCCTCACTTCTATTGCCTTCTTCCCCTCTTCAACTCCAGTGCCATCCAATGGGGGATGTCTCCCAACTGAAATCACGCCTACAGTCCTTGTGGCTTGAGCTGAAAAGAGACCCTAAGAAAAGGTGCTGAGTGGGAGGGAAACCCAAGTATCCCTGGCTTCCCATCCTCCTGGGTCCTTAAGGTGCAGTGCAGCTCATCACCCACGTTTTCTAAAAAAATTTTTTATGATCATGTGTCAGGACATGAATGCCAACCAGTGCATGTCAGCTCATACCTGGGGCCTCCCTGATATGAAATCCTGCCAGGCCAACCTGTTGTGTCTCCCTAATGGAAAGTTTCACTGGAGTCCATGTGAAGAGACCACCAAACAGGCTTTGTGTGAGCAACACGGCTGTTTATTTCACCTGGGTGCAGGCGGGCTGAGTCCGAAAAGAGAGTCAGCGAAGGGAGATAGGGGTGCGGCCGTTTTATAGGATTTGGGAAGGTAATGGAAAATTACAGTCAAAGGGGGTTGTTCTCTGGTGGGCAGGGGCGGGGGTCACAAGGTGCTCAGTGGGGGAGCTTCTGAGCCAGGAGAAGGAAATTCACAGGGTTAATCACTCCATTAAGGTGGGGCAGGAACAAATCACAATGGTGGAATGTCATCAGTTAAGGTGGGACAGGGCCTTTTCACTTCTTTTGTGATTCTTCAGTTACTTCAGGCCATCTGGGCATATTCGTGTAAGTCACAGGGGATGCGATGGCTTGGCTTGGGCTCAGAGGCCTGACATTCCTGCCTTCTTATATTAATAAGAAAAATAAAATAGTGTTGAAGTGTTGGGGTGGCGAAAATTTTTGGGGGGTGGTGTGGAGAGAGAATGGGCGATGTTTCTCAGGGCTGCTTCAAACGGGATTAGGGGCGGTGTGGGAACCTAGAGTGGGAGAGATTAAGCTGAAAGGAGATCCTGTGGTAAGGGGTGATATTGTGGGGTTGTTAGAAGAAACATTTGTCGTATAGAATGATTGGTGATGGCCTGGATACGGTTTTGTATGAATTGAAAAACTAAATGGAATAAGAAGGAGAAAAACAGGTATAAAAGGTCTAAGAATTAGGAGGACCTAGGACATCTGATTAGAGTGTGCCTAAGGAGATTCAGCATAGTCCTGCCAGCAAAGATTATTTATTTACTTCAAGAGTTAAGAGTGGCGGTTTGGGGATAGCACCAGGAGATATCAGCTGTGATGGCTTGGAGAAACAGTGTAAACTGGCAGTGTAAACAAGAGCAGGGCATGTATGAGTAGTTGAGAACGGAGAATAGGAATATGACTAGACAGAAAATAGTAGGGATGACAAGTTTTTTTGGGGGCACAGTCTAAGTTGGTCCGGTGTCTGGAATGAGACTGGGGCCTAATAAAAAGGAGCATCTATACAGGAGCTTAAATGGGCTGTACCTTGTAGCATTCTGAGGACAGGCCTGAATTCTGAGAAGTGAAAGTGGTAAAAGTATTGTCCAGTCGTTTTTAAGTTGGTGGCTGAGCTTGGTGAGGTGTGTTTTTAAAAGACCTTTAGTCTGTTCTACTTTTCTTGAAGATGGAGGACCGGAAAGGATATAAAGGTTTCACTGAATACTAAGAGCCTGAAAAACTAATTGGCTGATTTGACTAATGAAGGCTGGTCTGCTGTCAGACTGTATAGAGGTGGGAAGGCTAAACTGAGGAATTATGTCTGACAGAAGGGAAGAAATGACTGTGGTGGCCTTCTCAGACCCTGTAGGAAAGGCCTGTACCTATCCAGTGAAAGTGTCTACCTAGACTAAGGTATTTTAATTTCCTGACTCAGGGCATGTTGAGTAAAGCTAATTTGCCAGTCCTGGGTGGGGGCAAATCCTCGAGCTTGATGTGTAGGGAAGGGAGGGGGCCTGAATAATCCCTGAGGAGTAGTAGAATAGCAGATGGAACACTGAAGTTATTTCCTTGAGGATAGATTTCCACGATGGAAAGGAAATGAGAGGTTCTAAGAGGCGGGCTAGTGGCTTGTACTATAGCATAGCCTGCCTTTGCTGGTGTGTGGCGATTAGGCCTGGTGGAACTGCCGTCAATAAATCAAGCGTGATCAGGGTGAGGAACAGGAAAGAAGGAAATATGGGGAAATGGGGTGAATATCAGGTGGATCAGAGAGATACAGTCATGGGGGTCAGGTGTGGTATCAGGAATAATGTGGGAGGCCGGATTGAAGTCCGGGCCAGGAACAATGGTAATTGTGGGACTTAACAAAGAGTGAGTACAGCTGAAGGAGCCGGGAGCAGAAAGTATATGTGTCAGGTGTGAGGAAGAAAATAGATTTTGGAAGTTATGAGAAATGTAGAGAGTGAGTTGAGCATAGTTTGCGATTTTTAGGGCCTCTAAAAGTATTAAAGCAGCGGCAGCCACTACACGCAGACATGAGGGCTAGGCTAAAACAGTAAGGTCAAGTTGTTTGGACAGAAAGGCTACAGGGTGCAGTCTTGGCTCTTGTGTAAGAATTCTGACCGCACTAAGCATGCCTAGGAAGGAAAGGAGTTGTTGTTTTGTAAGGGATTGAGGTTTGGGAGATTAATCAGACACGATCAGCAGGGAAAGCACGTGTGTTTTTATGAGAATTATGCCGAGATAGGTAACAGATGAGGATGAAATTTGGGCTTGCCTGAAGTAATGGGGGCTGTCTGTGAAGCCTTGCGGCAGTACAGCCCAGGTAATTTGCTGAGCCTAATGGGTGTCAGGGTCAGTCTAAGTGAAGGCAAAGAGAGGCTGGGATGAAGGGTGCAAAGGAATAGTAAAGAAAGCATGTTTGAGATCCAGAACAGAATAATGGGTAGTAGAGGGAGATATTGAAGATAGGAGAGCATATGGGTTTGGCACCATGGGGTGGATAGGCAAAACAATTTGGTTGATAAGGCACAGATTCTGAACTAACTTGTAAGCCTTGTCTGGTTTTAGGACAGGTAAAATGGGGGAATGGTAAGGAGAGTTTATAGGCTTTAAAAGGCCATGCCGTAGCAGGCGAGTGTTAACAGGCTTTAATCCTTTCAAAGCGTGCTGTGGGATGGGATATTGGCGTTGAGCGGGGTAAGGGTGATTAGGTTTTAATGAGATGGTAAGGGGCATGTGATCGGTTGCCAGGGAAGGAGTAGAGATGTCCTATACTTGTGGGTTAAGGTGGGGGGATATGAGAGGAAGACTCGAAGGAGGCTTTGGGTTGGGGAGAAGGGCGGCAATGAGATGTGGCTGTAGTCCAGGAATAGTCAGGGAAGCAGATAATTTGGTTAAAATATCTCGGCCTAATAAGGGAACTGGGCAGGTGGAGATAACTAAAAAAGAGTGCATAAAAGAGTGTTGTCTAAATTGGCACCAGAGTTGGGGAGTTTTAAGAGGTTTAGAAGCCTGGCTGTCAATACCCACAACAGTTATGGAGACAAGGGAAACAGGCCCTTGAAAAGAAGGTAATGTGGAGTGGGTAGCCTCCATATTGATTAAGAAGGGGACGGACTTACCCTCCACTGTGAGAGTTACCTAAAGCTCGGCGTCCGTGATGGTCTACGGGGCTTCTGAGGCAATCAGGCAGCATCAGTCTTCAGCCGGTAAGCCAAGAAGGAGTCAGTCAGAGAACCTTGGGCCAGAGTTCCAGAGGCTCTGGGAGTGGCTGCCAGGTGAGTTGAACAGTCCGATTTTCAGTGGGGTCCCACACAGATGGGACGCGGCTTAGGAGGAATCCCGGGCTGCGGGCATTCCTTGGCCCAGTGGCCAGATTTCTGGTACGTGTAGCAAGCTCCTGGGGGAGGAGGTTCTGGAGGAACGCCTGGCTGCTACGGTTCAGGCGTTTGGAAGTTCTTTTGTGCTGGAGATGTGGCTGGGGTTTGTCTCACAGTGGAGGCAAGGAATTGCAACTTTTTTCTGTTATTGCACACCTTGAAGATGAGGCTAATTAAGTCCTGTTGTGGGGTTTGAGGGCCGGAATTTAATTTTTGGAGTTTTATTTAATGTTGGGAGCAGATTGGGTAATACAATGTATATTGAGAATAAGGCGGCCTTTTGACCTTTTAGGGTCTAGGGCTGTAAAGCATCTCAGGGTTGCTGCCAAACGAGCCATGAACTGGGCTGGATTTTTATATTTGATGAAAAAGAGCCTAAACGCTGTCTGATTTGGGATAAAGAAAAAGGAGCATTAACCTTGACTATGCCTTCAGCTCCAGCCACCTTTTTAAGAGTAAATTGCTGGGCAGGTGGGGGAGGGCTAGTCACGGAATGAAACTGTAAGCCGGACCAGGTGTGAGGAGGGGAGGCGATAAAAAGATTATAGGGTGGAGGAGCGGAGGCTGAGGAAGAATTGGGGCCTAGCTTGGGCTGGCGAGGAGGGGAGAGGTCAGATGGGTCTGTAGAAAAGGAAGATTAGAAAGACTCAGCGACGCTTGGGGTTGGGACTGAGGGGACAGGCGGGAGGGAAAGAAGGAAGATTTGGGACGAGTTGCACTGGGCACAGAGACTAGGAAGGGACTGATGTGTAAAAGAATGCCTGGACGTCAGGCATCTCAGACCATATGCCCATTTTACGACAAGAACTATTTAGATCTTGTAGGATGGAAAAATTGAAAGTGCCATTTTCTGGCTATTTGGAACTACTGTCGAGTTTGTATTGGGGTCAAGCGGCATTGCAGAAGAAAATAAGGCATTTAGGTTTTAGGTCAGGTGTGAGTTGAAGAGGTTTTAAGGTTTTGAGAACACAGGCTAAGGGAGAAGAAGGAGGAATGGAAGGTGGAAGCTTACCTATAGTGAAGAGGCAAGCCCAGAGAAAAGAGTAGAGACACGGAGAAGGGGTGGGGGGTTCTTGCCCTCCAGAAGCAGAGAAGGGGTTGGGGCACGGAAATAAGGGATTGGGGCACAGAGATAAGAGGTCAGGGTGCAGAAATAAGGGATTGGGGCACAGAGATAAGAGGTTGGGGTGCGGAAATAAGCGATTGGGGGGTTCTTACCCCCTAGGAAAGCGGGACTTGCCGCTAAGGATGAAGGGGAAGGGGTTGAGGGGTACTTGCCCCTGCCCCAGAAAAGCGGGACTTGCCACTAAGGGTGAAGGACCAAGGCAGGCGTCCCTGCGTGGTCTGACACACTTGAAACGTGAGTGTATAATCAGAGAGCGTCCCTGCAGTGATTAAACACCAAGGGAAGGCTGCCTTCCCAGTCCATGACCGGTGCCGGAGTTTTGGGTCCACGGATAAAACCTGTCTCCTTTGTCTCTACCAGAAAATGAAAGGAATTGAAATTAAGAGAAGGGAGAGATTGAAGTGTGCCGCCAAGATTGAAAGGAGAAAGAGGTTGAGGGATAGTGAGGGAGGTTGGAGGAGAGAGTAAAAAGTGGCCGCTTAGCGGATTTGAAATTGGTGAGATGTTTCCTGGGCTGGTCGGTCTGAGGACCTGAGGTCGTAGGTGGATCTTTTTCACGGAGCAAAGAACAGGAGGACAGGGGATTGATCTCCCAAGGGAGGTCCCCCGATCCGAGTCACGGCACCAAATTTCACTCGAGTCCATGTGAAGAGACAACCAGACAGGCTTTGTGTGAGCAACATGGCTGTTTATTTCACTTGGGTGCAGGCGGGCTGAGTCCGAAAAGAGAGTCAGCGAAGGGAGATGCGGCCGTTTTATAGGATTTGGGAAGGTAATGGAAAATTACAGTCAAAGGGGGTTGTTCTCTGGTGGGCAGGGGCGGGGTTCACAAGGTGCTCAGTAGGGGAGCTTCTGAGCCAGGAGAAGGAAATTCACAGGGTTAATCACTCAGTTAAGATGGGGCAGGAACAAATTACAATGGTGGAATGTCATCAGTTAAGGCGGGGCAGGGCCTTTTCACTTCTTTTGTGATTCTTCAGTTACTTCAGGCCATCTGGGCGTATACGTGCAAGTCACAAGGGGATGCGATGGCTTGGCTTGGGCTCAGAGGCCTGACAGAAAGGAGTCTTTGAAGGATTGAACTTCTGTGCGAGGAAACATGACATTTGTGTCAGTTGTCATCTTCCTTCATTTAAAAAAATAGAACAGTTCCTGGGGTTTTTGTTAACGTGTGTTGTTCTGCATTGGCAGGCCTGTGCACACCTACCCCTCAAAGTCTGAGGAAGCTGAGAAGTCAAAGAGAGAGCCTGACAAACCCAGTTTCTCAGAAAGAAATATTTAATAGGGACTTAAGAACAGAAGCTATGTCTGTCTCTTGGGCAGTGGTGAGACAAGTTGTTGGATCCCTGAACCATTATCCCCTAAACCTAGGGCTACAGACCACAGGGAAGAGATGGATGTGAAAAGAAGGGGTGTGTAGGACAATGGCTTAAGGGCAGAACTTGTGGTAAATACAATAACATCAAGGTTGTTTAGTTAGTACCTACTCTTACACAAGGAACAATAGATAAACTGGAAATCTTAGAGAGCTTTCCAGAACAGGAATTAATCAGAAGTCAACATGGCAGATTCACTTCCAAGATGGAGTTGCCTTGGCCTCCACATGTGTGTACCAGAGACTGCTCATGTGATGAGGACAAAAGAGAAAGATTCAAGGAGGAAGGAGAGACATTTTATAATGTATCAGTCTGCTCTTAGAGCACTTCACTTTATTTCAGTAGAGATGTATGCCCCCAAGACAGAGACTCAGATGACTCCCCAATCATGCGGCAGAATTCTGGGATAAGAAGAGACAGACTTCTTCCAGGAGCAGGTGCAGGGCAGAGGACTCTAGAGAAGGGATTCTTGAGCTTGGGTCTCACCAACTGTCACTCAAGGTGTGACTGTTCTCAATCTCCCCTTTTGTAAAATGGGGAAATACCTTCCCTGAATGTGGTATTTGTGGGGTAGTTGTGAGGATCAAATGAGGAGTTTGCTTTCAGTCACAGGGATCTGATATTCTATGTGGGTGGGACCAATGAAGCTTTCAATGATGTGTCTTCCAGGGAGGGTGTTTTTGAAATCAAACTGAGATGATAACCCTGAGAAATAGGATTGGACTTTTTAGCATCTTCTTTGTTACACATTTATAGGCATTGTTCTAACAAGGGTGTCTGTAGCATTCACCAGAATGTCAAAGCAGCCCATGACCCAAAAGGGTCAGGAACTCCTACTGTAGCAGGTCAGTGAGGTGGCTGCCCCTGATGGGTTGCCCCTTGCTGTTTAGAGCTTGCCTTTTTCCACCAAGAATTCGAGGCATCTTAAAGTGAAGACGTTATGCAGCTGGGTATCTATCAGAAGGATCAGGACGTGTGGAGGGGGAAGGTAGGAAGAGGATGGGGGTTGTTAATGGAGGGGGCAGTGGGGTTGGGTTGAGAGGAAAAGGGGTGGCACTAAGAACCCGAGCCTCTTTTTCTCTTGTCCCCATGTTATGAACAGTCTCTGGTCCACTAAATGCATTCAGTTCCCAGCTTCCTAACCATCAAGATACCAAACCTATTATACAGGCCCCATTGTATGACAGAAGGAAGCATCAGTCATGGGGAGAGATGGACTTCCTGACATTCACATCCAAGAGAAAGAAATTGGATATGAAGGCCTTCTCACTGACACATCACCCAACCCGTCTTGGAGGTGGCTCTCGCAGATGGGGGGCTGGCCAGGCAGCGACTGTCTTTCCCTCCTTCCCATGGGTCCCTCCCAAAGCAGCAACTGAGCAGGCAGGGCCTCTGGGGGCTGAGAAGAACTGTTCCTCAGGCGCAGCCCCCTCACAGCTGTCTCTCCTATTCTTCTCCCTCCAGCTCTTATGTTTGCACCCCTGGAGGGTCTGAAGGCCTGAGTAGGAGCTGGGTCCTGACTATGAAGTCTGGAGCCCCAGAGCTGGGGGAGAACAGGATGCCGGGTGGGAGAGACCTAACTAGGCCTTCTCAGCTGGGGGACCTCCAGAGGAGCCCCAACGCTGAGTCGCAGCCAGGACCTCGGAGCCCCAACGCTGAGTCGCAGCCAGGCCACAGCTGTCTGAGTGCTCACAGCCTCCATGCAGGCAGTGACCCAGCTCCAGGCATGTTCACATGCCATGCCCTGTCTGCATTTCCAGTGCCCACTGGACAAACCCCCAGCTTCCTCAGGCACCTCACACCCCACAGGCGCAACACCTCTTCCGGAGCCTCATCCCAGCACTGTCACTGTCACTGCCTTTGCGTCTTTTACTTCTCCCCGCCTCCTCTCTGCCAGTCTCAAAGCTTGTTACTAGCTGTATTAGTCTGCTCAGGCTGCCGTAACAAAATATCACAGACTGGGTGGTTTCAACAACTAACTTTCTCATAGTTTTGGAGGCTGTGGAAGTTGATCAAGTGTCAGCAAAAATGGTTTCCCCTAAGGCCTCTCCTGTTGGCTTGCAGGCAGCCACCTTCTCACTGTGTCTTCACACAGCTTTTCCTCTCTGCAGCCCTGGGGTCTCTACCTGGTCTTATAAAGACACCAGCTGCATTGAGTTAGGGTGCCACCCTATGACCTCATTTAATCGCAATTCATTCTTTAAAGGCTCCATCATCTCCAAATGCTATCACTTTGGGGCTTTAGGGCTTACAACAAATGCATTTTTGCAGGGACACAATCCATTCCATAACAGCTGAGTATACAAGGATGTCCTCAGAAGCAAGTAGGAACCATGGTATTGGATGTCCTCCAGGGAGAGGGAGGAGCTAAAGGGCATACTCCAGCAGAGAAGGACCTTCTGTCCTCCCTGCCCGTTTTTCCCCATCTGTTTGCTCTTACCTGAAATTCATCCCAAGAGTTTCATGATAATCACCTCAAGCTTTGATCCTAATTAAACAAATTTAAAAATCACATTTCTTCCCTGGAAGAGGTAGCGATTGGTTAGTTTAATAAAGTACTAGTCAATCAAGCTGAATGAGAATTCCCTGGTTTTTTTTTTTTCTTTTTTGTAGAGCCAGGGTCTCATTGTGTTGCCCAGGCTGGTCTCGAACTCCTGGGCTTTGGCAATCCTCCCACCTTGGTCTCCCAAAGTGTTGAGATTACAGGCGTGAGACACCATGCTCGGCCAAAGGCCCATTTTGATAAAAATATCTTAAAATTACAAAATGACCCATCTGGGGGTGGGTTGTGAAATGAAGCGTTTGGAATAGATTATCTTTGTGGTCACTTGCAGCTCGCTGGATAACCTTTAAAATTATACATTGGGTCGGAATCTCGGGAGTCAGATCTCCAAACAGCTCATGCCAAGAGCTTCCAGCAGGGGGCAGCAAGGCACCGTGAGCACTGGTTCCGTAACATCCCTCGGCGTCAGACGAAAACACCCTCACTTTCCACGTCAAGTGGAACTAGAACAAATCCTCCTTTGCTATCTGTGGCTCAAGAATGTTGTGCCCAGGCCAGGCGCGGTGGCTGACGTATGTAATCCTAACACTTTGGGAGGCCAAGGTGGGAGGATCGCTTGAGCTTGGGAGTTGTAGACCAACCAGCCTGGGCAACATAGTGAGACCTTGTCTCTGCAAAAAATAAAGTATTATCTGGGTGTGATGGTGCACACCTGTAGTCCCAGCTACTTAGGAGGCTGAGTTGGGAGGATCACGGGAGACCAGGAGATTGAGGCTGCAGAGAACTGAGATTGCACCTCTGCACTCCAGCCTGAGTGACCCAGTGAGATCCTCTCTTAAAAAAAAAAAAAAAGAATGTCGTGCCCTTAGAGAAAATGAGATTCTGAGCCAGTTAATGATTTGTCTCCAGGAAACCCAAAATTAAACATGAGAGAAACCCAAAGTTTCTTCCAAAATTACATTTATTTTTCTCAATTCAGAAAAGTCTCAACACCACAATTTATCTGTTTAATGTTTTCATTTACATTTGGCTTTATCCCAAAAAGGGTTTAACAGTGTCACCAAGTTACCAGGTCTCTGTTTCATCATATTTACACAAGATGAAGGAAACTCAATCTGTTCGTATTTGCCCCAGGTAATAGGTTCTATGTAGTGACAGGCATTTCACTATTTGACTTAGTGTTTGCCAAAATGAAGTAAGGGGAATTGGGTCCAGAGCTGAGGACAGATCCATTTGGAATGAAAGCATAATAACCTTGAAGTTATTCCAGTGACAAAAAATGATCAGTGAAAGATTTTCTAAGAGCAAGCAGGAATGAGGAGGCTGGCCCTCTGGCCAGCATGAGATGGGGTCTTAGGAACAGTTTGTCATTCAGTAACCTCCTAACAAACACTCGGGCAAGCCACTTCCCCTCTCTGAGAATCAGTTTCCTCTTCTGTACATAAGGGGAGAGGGTCAGTCAACCATCTTAGATATGGGAACTTAAGGGGACTTCATGGCCCTGCGGGAAAAAAGCTCAAATGTGTTTTTTTGCATTGGGCCTGCATGGGACGTAAGTGTTTCGGGAGTGAGGGGAGGCCTTGGAAGGGAACTGCTATTGCTAATGATGATTAAGAGATGACTTCGTGTGGGAACCACCACTCAACCCTTGCTTGTCTGTACAATCTATTTCCAGCCTCAGCCCCTCAGAACAAGGGGTGGTTTTTATGGTGTCTAGCCTGGAACTCTCTGTCAGTAAAAGCTGGAAGGGGCCAAAGGTATCTGCTCAGTGTTCCCCCTTGCACAGCCCTCACTGCCCCGAGCACCTCATGCTTACTTGACAAGCTGCAGTCTGGAGTATCAGACCAGCCTGTGTCCCATCCCTGAGGAAGTACACGGCCGCTTCAATCCCCACTGGGGGCACCATTTTAAGTCCGCTCAGAAAGAAAGAAACACACAGAGAGTATCAGACAAACACAAATTCTTTTGGTTTTAATCTTTACTTCCAATCCCAAACAATCTTGTTTCTTTTCATTATAAAAGTACTAAACAAACACGGACAGGAGAGGAAACTGACATTTGCAAACGATGTACCTTCAACAGGCATCTCAACAGCCCCATCACCAACACCTGTGTGCAAGGCATAGCCATCACGCAGAAAAGTCTCAGGACTCAGAACTACACCATAAATGCAGGATCTTTTTATTTCATATAAAAATGATCAATGTGAAAAAAGCCAAACTGTATGCTGGTTTTACAGACTCCGACCCTTCCTGACAGTCTTCTTGTCTGGCCAGGCTGGGGGCCCAGCATTCCTGGAAGGGAGAGACAGCCCAGCATCTCAGTATTTCATTGGGACAACAAGCTGGATGTGGCAGGGAAAGCTGAGAGCGCCAAGGTCCCCTTGCTTTATCCCAAGCTCGGAGGGACGCAGCCTGGCATGGCTCTGGCCTAGCAGCCAGGTGACATGGCCAGGCACCTTCCTGTACAGGCACTGTGGGCTCCTGGCCCAGGCTCACTAGAAGGTCTTCTCTGTGGTGCCTACCTAGGGAGCTGTGATCAAGCCGAGCAGCCGTGCAAGGCGTTTCAGTCTGACCTTTTCATCAGATCCCCGCTCCAGCCCCTCGGAGAAGGAAACATCAGTCCACAGTGCCATTGTAGGATTTGTTGAACTTGTTGAAGGTGAAGTCCACAGTGTGCGTGGAGATAGGCTTTCTGTATAATGGATTTGAAGCCTACAGAACACGGCGGGGAAGAGGATGAGGACACATGTTAGCTCACACACTCAAACCGACAGACGCAGGCCCTAGGATCCCTTCCCAGGTCAGCCCCCTGCGACAGCAGCAGGCAGAGCACTCAGGAGGAGACGGCCGTGGGCTCTAGGACAGCTCTGTGTTCCCCAGGAAAGCCATCGCCTTCTCTAAGCTTTCACTATCCACCTCTGGAAGGAGGAGTTGGGTCAGAAGGTCTCTGAAGTCCCTTCCAGCTTTAACAGAAACCAAGCCCAGGTTCAGCAGAAACTGACTGCGCTCAGTCCTCTGGGCATTTGCAGTCTGCCTGGGGTGACCAGACTGCAGGTGTGAGTGTTGTAATGGACCATAAGAATCTGAGCTTTCCTGTTGGTCTGTGCTCTCTCTGAGACTGGTCAGACTCTTCCTGAGGCACGCCCAGCGCCTCTGCCCCCATGACCTTCCTGACCTGGGTCTGGAACAGGGATCTGTGCAGCTCACTCTGCACTGGGGCTGTGCAATTCTCTCTCTCCAGAACTGGGCACAGCGTTTCTGGTGTTGATTCTTTTGTTTTTAATGCCAAAGACATTAGTGAGCCTCTATTGCTAACATACCGCTGAACTCAACCACGCCTCTGAGCTTGAAGTCTCCTCTGCTTCCCATTTCCCACGTGCTTACCATTTCATAGCGGGCCCTGGATCGCTCGCTCTGAAACTTTGCAAACTCCCTCCGGTCGTGGATGGTGACAAGCAGCTTCCAGATAGCCAGGAGTGCAAGCCCAACAAGGAGGATGCTACCGACCACAGCCAGGAGGATGGTCATGGCGTTGGGGGTGTTTCCACACTCTGGGGGGACCAGAAGCATGGTAAGCAAAGCCACTAGCATCACCATGCCCCTCTCACGCAACTGCAGGCATTTCTGAGATGAAAGTTGCACCCCTTCCAAAGGCCTTCTCCTCGGCTCTCCCTTAGATCCTCAGGAGGGTTTCCCCAATGTACAAAAAATGAAAGATTCAAAAGGGACAGTGACTGTTCTAAAGTCACACAGCAAGTGTGGCAAAGTCTAGATGAGGGCCCTGGGGCAGGGCTGCCTTTCCCCTCATGGGCAGCACCCACATCCCGCCTGGCCCAGTCTCCATTGCAGGATGCTGGACCCGCTCAGCTTTCGTGTACATGGTTTCAGGAGCAGACTGGGCAGGCAGGAGGTACCATGAAGCCACATGAAGCCACTTCCACAAGGTCTGGGCTGGGGGCCAACATTTGTAAGCCTTTAGCGTGGTGTCCCTTGGAGTAAATGTGCTTGTTTTCAAAGAACCTCAGACACAGCATTGGAAACAAAGCCTCATTCTTACAGGCGTGCATCCTAGGCTGGTACCACACTTCTCTCTGCCTCTGGCCTCAGGAAGGCACATTATGTGGTTGGGCTCAATTTGGAAAAATAGTTTGCAGTGCTGTCGATTGAAGAGAGCAAATCTTTTTCTGCTCCACCCCTGCCTCCCTACCCCCAAGAAGAATGTAAGGGGTGATATCAGATATTCCAGTTACTCCAAGGCAAAGGCTATTGGTCCCTGGGTCCAAGCAGAGGCAGAATGTTGGTATTTGGATTAAAGCTTGACCTCTTCAGTGGTGCTGGGAGCTGAGCATGGGAGCAGCAGGAATGTTGAACCCAGTGCTCCGTTGTCCTTGGAATCCATGCTGGGAAGCAGCAGTGGCCCCGCCCAGGCTGTGTGTGGAGCTGGATGCTCCCTGACTTGAGTGATACCCTGCCCAGCCCTGGTGGTCTAGATGCCCTGCACCCTCCCTGCAGAACACAGCAGCTCCTTGCTGCCTTTGGCTGTGCAGGGTAGGTATGTTCTGTGGTTACTTTCACGTCTGTGCTCCTCCAAGATGAGACCCTCCCCAGGGACAGGGCCCTATCCTTCTATAACTCCCATTGCCCTGACTCACGCTCCCACTAGCGCTTGCCCCAAGAATGGGCCCCCAGCTGCACATTCATCTTTCTTCTAAACTCTAGGAGTGGAGCAGCAGTGACCTCAGATCTGGTCTTCATGAGAAATTGTACTGGTTAGGTGCAGTGGCTCAAACCTGTAATCCTAGCACTTTGTGAGGCCAAGACAGGTGGATTGTTTGAGCCCAGGAGTTCGAGACCAGCCTGGGCAACATGGTGAAAACCTGTCTCTACCAAAAACATACAAAAATTAGCCCGGTGTGGTGGTGCATGCCTGTAGTGCCAGCTGCTCGGGAGGCTGAAGCGGGAGGATCACCTGAACCCGAGGAGGTCAAGGCTGCAGTGAGCTGTGATGGCACCACTGCACTCTAGCCTGGATGACACAGTGACAGCCTGTGTCAAAAAAAAAAAAAAAAAGAAAAAGAAGAAATTGTATCCCTCCTCTCCCTGCAGTTTCAAAAGGCCGATGAGGACAGAAAGGGCAGTGGTCCCAGAGCAGAGAATGGCATCAGAAATCAGAA